>NC_000011.10:32029696-32181212 GCF_000001405.40 Homo sapiens
CTGAGCTGTGAGGTCATTGTCTCAAACTTTCGGGAAGCACTTACTGCCTCCAGAGCCTTCGGTCATGAGGATTCTGGGGAAGAAAGACATTGGGGTTGTGCCCAGTGGAGTGGCCCAGCACAGAAAGGGGGTGGTAGACACAGAAGGCAAAGTGCAGAAAAGCTGTAGGATTCAGCAAAAACTGGCATTCAGATTGGAGATGTCTGTGGGAAACCTGAGTCACTCCAAGAATCACTGGGAGATATTGAGAAGAACACTGTGTTTCCCTCCATATGCTGGTGAGGGCTCTCAATGAAAAAATCTCAACAGCCAGTCCCAGCGGGCTGGGTGACTTGGGAATATCTGTGTAGCTACATTTGAATTAAACATGCATGACGTAATCCTTAAAAATGCTATGGTCATATTTTTTCCCTTTTAAATATAATCTTGGTAATTTTTCTGAGAATACAATAATTTTAAGTCTCTTTTAGAATTCCAAAATGCCCAAGGGAGGGTGGATAAGAAGTGCATTTGTATCTTTTTTTTCTCTATAAGAAAATTCAGTATTTTTTTTTTTAAGGAGAAATTCTTGACTTAGGAGCATCTTGGTTTGCTTCTGATTGTCTGGAACAGGGAGTCACTATTAGTTATGACACACTGAGTGATTTACAGGTCAGCTTAAATCAAATCTGATTCATTTCACGTCTTTACTTGTGTGTGTGGTAGGGGGAACAAACAGTATAAAACACAGAGCTGAGAAACAGAAGTCAAAGTTCCTGCCCGGGAGAAATGCCGGCATCACATAAGGGGGTCTTCTCGTGCTTAGCCCCCTCTGCCACGTGGGCTGTGCTTAGCCTGGGATGCTTGTCTCAATGCTTGAATACCTTCCTCTGCAGCCAACGCTCTCTATGTGTTTGGGTGGAGAGATGCATTAATGGAGAGAGGCAGGAAAATAAGGGGTTTGGAGAAGAAACGAAACACCTGAAAACAAGTCATCTTTTAGGGTTCAGATGCTCCTGAAATTTTAAGAGTGAAGTGAAAAATGACATGATTTTCAGGGACTGGATTTTCTCTTCCCTCTAGGACTCCTCACACACACACACACACACACACACACACAAACACACACACACACAGACACACACGCAGGACCATCCACTAGCGTACTCTTACTTGGCTATTTGAAGTCATTTGGTGACTGCTAGAATTCTGGACTAGCTGAGGCTGAGGCAGATACAAGACACAATAAGCATTTCAAAAAACATCTCACAATGTGATCATCAATGTGTAATATGAGCCGAGGGTTAGTTAAATAAAATGTGAAAGCCGTATCAATGACTCTTCTGGCTGTCCAACATTGCATTTCATTTTCCTTTCCAAGGAGGATAAGGGTAGGGCCGGCGAATAAATTATAGATGAAACCCCCATCATATGTTTATAAATACACTAACATTAGCATTTTACTTCCTCATAAATCTGCAGCAAATACTCAGGCACAAGATAGAAAGCCCTGTAAAACAATGATATATTCTCTGCTTGCAGGCATTGACTAGTGGCCCATTCACTCCCGGTGCTGTTCTTCAACCACGCTCCCTCCGCTCATGCCCCGTCATTTAAAATCCATTTTAATTTAAAGATGCACAAGGCAGTGCTCGTGGTACATTTACTCATCCTAGTTATACATCATGGAGCAAGGAAAAGAAAATTGTTTCATCTAGAGATACGGTTCAATGTGGTCACCACTGAACAGTGGAGTAATTACCATATCAGACCCACTCAAAATGCACTCAGGGTGTTCTGTGACCTATCATTTGCTAATCTGCATAGTGAAGTATAGCTTCATAACTATAAATTGCTGACTTAATTAAAACCAAGACCTTTCTGTCATTTAATTACAGGGAGAAAGGTTATTGCTTAAATGCAATTTTCCAAATGTGATTTCTTAACAGTTATTAACTGCTTCACCATCATTTATTGTTTCAGATTTTTCAATTTGAAAATACTTCCCGTGACAGAAGTAATGACTTCATGAAAAACTCAATCTAGAGGGAGGCCAGCCAGCCCATTTGTTTCTCATAAGTGGAGCCGACAGGAAACTGGAAAATGTCACCGAAGGATCCTGGGATGGCTCTCACTTTCGGGGAGCAATTAAAACCCAGAAGGTTGTATCAAAGATGGGGAGAGGTTGTTTGCAGACATTTTAAAGGTGGTCTGTCTTTCCTATCCTAGCTGGCAGGTGTGTTTGCCTTGTAAAATATGAGGGTGGCAGTGGTGGCCAGTGGTGGGTCAGTCAGCTCCTAGGCTCCTAGGCACCCATTTGAATGTGTAGGTCCTCTTCCGAATATTTCTGCATCTAGAATTTCTTCTCCCACACAAGGTAGAACTGCTACAAGTTTGGACATGGCAGATAGCCACACAGTGAAGAGAATAGTCCACCTTTTCTTCCATCCTCTGTCTTGCTTTAATCCTTGGATGGTTGTGTCTTCTCTTTTTCTCCATGTTTTAGTAGGTTGCCCAGAGGTTATGCAGGTAAATTAGAGTGACCAGTGAAGTGGGCCAGTCTAGATAGCCAAGAAAATTTAACATCCACCAAAGCACTTCTTTAATAACAGGGGATTTAGTTATTGTCTTAATTCCCATGTGCACAAAATGGAGACTTGTGCAACTGGTCAACTTAATGCTTCGATTCATATTATAGCTCCATCTGCAGCAGAGAAGCAAGGAATTTCACTGTGATGGACAATCTAGTCTTTTCCTAGACCCTGACAGCTCTGTGCTAGAAAATTTACAAAAATGGACAAATGTGCTTCCTGTCTACAGGGATCTAAATGTCGGTTCCAGGCAGGAGCTGCCTTGCTTACTGGTTAAGGAGAACACTCTTAGGCTCTACTTTCACTTTAGGATAGGGTTAAAGTTAAAATTGCTCAGATGAAGAAGTGAAAATCCACCCAATTTCTCTCTACGTTAGCCATTTCTCTTGGCTTTATTCATTGTGGCAGTTACACAAAAATGACTAATGGGGATTTCATAAAATCTTAGTCAGATTGTTAATAATCCCTTCTGCTCTCCAGCAGCAGCGTGCTTCAAAGTTTTCAAAGCATCTTCACACACTTTAACCAATTTCAGTTCAATTAAGCAAATATTTCGGTAACACAAAGATTAGAAAGGCACTGCTGCTTGCCCACATTCAATCAGGGGAAGTCATCTGGACCTTCGTCCAATTCTATAAGGTAGCAAGGAAGATGTTTTCAGGAAAGCTGCACTGTAGCCTCCCTCCACCTTCTTTTTTTTTTTTCCAAGAAACAGAGACACACTCAAACTTGATGAAATTAAGTCAAAGTGAAGCTCAGCTCAGTATAAATATTTAGAGACCTCAGGAAAACCAGGAAGGCTGAGATCCAGTGCTACTTTGTCTCAACAGACCACATGGTCCGTCTTATCTCTACTTCTGGCTTTCTGCTCTTACTTTTCTCTTTCTTGATCATTTCCCCGTCTTTCTCATTTCACACAAGGCAGCAATCCTCACTTCTCAGTTTGACCATGCACCACTGTGATATTGTGAAATGTCTATTTCACAGTAGATAGTGTCAGAATTGAATGGAATCAGAGAACATCCTCCTGGCCTGCTGGAAAATGTGCTGCAGAATTGGTTGCTGGTGGAGAGAAATCCCCACCCACTTGTTGGTGACCAGAGGTGACATGCTCTATGTTGAGTGGTTTTGGCTGTGTGAGAGCAGGAAAAAGACCTTGGGCTTTTCTTATATATCTCTTAGAATCACCAATGGCCAACATCCTTGTCTCAGTTCAAATTCCTGGAAGAGGTAATCTGGTTGTCTGAGTGCTTCACTCTTTAGAAACTAACAAATCATGGGTTACTGGCTAGCTGGGCCTTTGGACAGGGCAAGCAACAATTGACACATTTAAGATGGCAGATAAAAAATTATGATCTTTATTTGAGAGGTAAGGAAACTAAATCTTGCCAGGTTAAGCAATCTGCAAACGTTCGCATGACGTTTATGCAGCCGAGTCACATCCACATTCTCTCCCTGTCAGTTCCTTTCCCGGGAGCTAGAAATATTGAAGTCATTTAAGTAGGAGATGATTATTAGACATATACGTACAACTATAGGTTTTTGTATTTATGTTTTATTAATTGACAAGAGTACAAATCTAATTAAAGGAGAAATTGCATTGGCTTAAAATAAGAGAATAAATTATTTCTTTTTGGTAGTTAATACAACTAAAGCTCTCATTTGTACCCTATCAGTTAATCTGTTGACTATTAATATCACTTAATCAGAAAGATGGTGGAGGAGAGTAACAATGACTAATACACAGTCAAGATTTTAATTTGGAAACAGAACACTACATCTTTTTACATACTAAATGCACAATAGTGACAATTAATTTCATTCTTGCTGTGAGTGCTTTATGTAGCAGCCACCTATTGGGTCTAAAAATCTGGCTCTATCATGAATGGGATCCATGGGATAGGATGGTGCCATAGATGACTTGCTTTGCTTCTGGGAAGAGGAAATGATTTACATTCCTTTCACACTATCACCACCACCACTACCAGAAATGAGATGGTTTTGTAGAAACATCACCATATACTTTGTAAAATGATTGGTTGCTATAAAACATTGTCCAGGGTGGAATGCGCAATTTGCAAAGAGGCCAGGGGAAGACCATTTCTGGATGTGTATGCAGCTGACTTTTGTGTTAGTGGACACCCCAGTTTGGTACACCACATTGAGGCCTGATAGCAATGGCCACAAACACAGCAAGCCACAAACCAACCCTTGCTCAATCCTGCAATTTAAAGAGATTGCTCATTCAAACTCACTGTAGTTAGACAACTACACTGATTCTAGACCAATTCCTTTTCCCTCAACATGTCAGTGTCGTTTTTTGTTTGTTTGTAACAGCTTTTATTACTCACATACCACAAAATTCACTCATTTAAAGTGTACAATTCAATGGCTTTTAGTATATTCAGATTTATACAACCATCGCCACAATCAATTTTAGAACATTTTCATGAACCACAAAAAGCCCCTGTACCCCTTAGCAGCCACTTCCCAGCTCTCCCAATCCTAGGTAATCACTCATCTACTTTCTTTCTCTAATTATTTGCCTATTCTGGACATTTCATACAAATGGAATCATAATATGTGGCCTTTGGCATTGGTTTCTTTCACATAGCGTAATGTTTCCAAGATTCATCTGATTCATGTTGTAACATGAATCAGAACTTCATTTTTTTAAATGACTGAATAATATTCCACCATACAGACATGCAGTTTTATATATCCATTCACCAGTTGATGGACATTTGGGTAGTTTCTACTTTTTTGGCTATCCTAAATAATGCTGCTGTGAACATTCATGTACAAGATTTTATATGACCGTATGTTTTCAATTCCCAGGAGTGGAATTGCTGGGTCATGTGGTATCTTGGTCAGCTTGGGTTGCTATTATAAAATACCACAAACTGGGTGGCTTATCAACATCAGAAATTTATTTTTCACAGTTCTGGAGGCTGGAAGTCAGAAATCACACTGACGTGATCAGGTAATGGTGAGGGTTCTTTTTTGGGTTGCAAACGGCCCTCTTCTCATTGTATCCTCATATGGTAGAGAGCAGACAGAGAGGGAGAGAAAGCAAGCTCTCTTTCCTTTTTTTCTAAGGGCACTAATCCCATTCATGAGGGCTCCACTCTCATGACCTAATTACTTCCCCAAGGCCCCACCTCCTAATGCCATCACATCAGGGTTTAGAATTTTATCAGATGAATTTTGGAGAGCAGACACAAACATTTAGTCACAGCATATGGTAACTCTTATATTATTCTTTTGAGGAACTTCCAGACCATTTTCCAAAATGGTTGCACCATTTTATATCCCACCAGCAATTCAGTATCTTTTAATAAGTGGATTTTAGAGGTTCCAGCAGCAGCTCTGTTTATCCCCTGGCCTTTTTACACTCTGGGAAGCTCATAAAATAGCCTTTATGGGTGCTGAGTAAGACAGGTACCCAGAATCCCTCCACCTACCAAGAGCTTTCAGAAGGAACCTTAAAGAGTGCTTAGTCCAATGTTTTTCAAAGTGAATTCCCAGGAACACTGATTTCATGGAATGTTACTAACAAAAGAACATCTCTTCCTTTTTTAAAAAAAGGTGGTTCTTTGCTCAGATGTATTTGGGAATCACTGGGTTAAACCAACTTAAACGGACTCTTTTCTTCAGGATTTCTCAGAGCTATTAATATGCTAATGTATACAATAAATTTCCAAAAGGCAAATTGAGAGTTTCTAAGCAATATTTATTTGACCGTAGGTTGAAAGTTGTCCCCCATCTGGGAGCAACTTCCAGAAATTATAATCCTCAGAAGACACTGAAATGTTGATCTGGTCCAATCCCTTCCTGTGGCACCTGCCCTCTCTCAGGAGCTCCTAATGATCACAATCTTCTTTGCTACCATTTACCAAGGGTCTGTTATGTTAGGTGCTTCACATACGTTAATTTGAATGATCCTTTCCAAAATTACCTCAAAAAAGTTTAAGAAAAAATCCTTTAAAAAAAAAATGGGAATGATGTTAGTCCCCTCTCACAGAAGACTAAACTGAGGCTCAGAGAAGTTGAGCAACTTTCCTCCAAGGTAGCACAACTAAACGGTAACAGCACCTGGACTTGAATCCAGGTCTGGCTCTCTTCAAAGCCTCCATTTTGACCACTACACTGCATCCTGGGGACTGCACTTCATATTTTTCTGCTGGATTTGATACCAATTTAAAATAAGGAAGAGCAGGGGCAAGCCAGAGGCCAAACTAGAAATTTAAATATAAAGGTCAGTAAATAATTGAACTATTCTCAAGAGATAGCCTAGGTATTGGCAAGACTATTACCTCCTTAGACTCATACACAGCTTCTTACACACACACACACACACACACACACACACTCACTTGGACTAATTACCTGTCTTTTCCAAATGGTTGTTTAATCCATTAGTGTAGGTTTTTTTTTTTTTTTTTTTTTTTTTTTTTTTTTTTTTTCAACCAGAGCAAAAACTAAGTACTGGGATATTTGGAGAAAGCAGAGACTAGAAAATGCAACCAGGTCCAATTTAACTGCAAAATTACTTCCTCACAGAGCAAAATGGCTGGCTCTGACACCCAAGCTGTTCAGTGGGACATAATGGGCAGAGTGAAAGAGGCATCAATGGCTGTGGCCTCTGAGGATAGTCACAAATTCCTCTGGATTGTAGTTGCCTCATGTGTGTAACCCTTAAAAATCCAAGTCACCATGTGGCCCAGTATCTGCAAAGAAACACAAATTCAACATTTAAAAAAGTAAAACCATTGTAAATACTGTCTGCAGTATCTTAAGAGTGAAAGTGAGAAGGTACATTAAAAACACATAATAAGGCTGGACGTAGTGGCTCATGCCTGTAATCCCAGCACTTTGAGAGGCAGAGGCAGAAGTGTCTCTTGAAGCCAGGAGTTTAAGGCTGTAGTGAGCTATGATTGTGCCACTGCACTCCAACCTGGGAGACAAAGTGAGACCCTGTCTCAAAAAATAAAATAAAATAAAATAAAATAAAATAAAATAAAATAAAATATAAACAAAAATGGAACAAAACGTCTGGAAATGATTTTTTCCATAACTCCTCCTCTTTCTTTCCACCTCTCACAAGTACAGGAGGGGCCTCAAAGGTCTTTCCTTCCCTCGCTCAGAGGACCCCGAAAGACTCTGTCTAGAGCTCACAATTTAAAGAGGCTCTTTCTTCTTCTTCATCCTTCTCCTTTCCTTGTCTTTCCTGTAGTTCCCTATCTTTCCCAATTGAAATCTTGCTTCCTTGCTGGCTTCTCTGCTCCCCCCACTCACCTTTACCTCCACTGACACAGTGAAAGCTGAGGCATGTAGGTGATCAGGAGTGTACAGGTGTGTCTGTGTCTGTGTGGCGTGGGGGTGGGTGTAGGTAGGAGGTGGTGGGGGTATACAGTGAGAAGATCACAGATAATGTAATCAGGTTGCTTCTGGTCACTGCTAACATTGTGATGTGTCTGAACAGAAATCCAACTCTAAACAAATATCTTGAAAAAGTAATATACACTTAAGGCTCCCATAGGACTACCAAAGGGGAGAACTACATAGCATGACCTCCAGCCAGTGTTGTAGTGAGTCTCTCAGCAGAGCCAACTTAGCCTGACAGCTGCTCCCATTTCTGGCCTTTTGGCCTCCTTACAAATCTGTGAGTCTTTTTTTTTTTTTTTTTTTTGAGACAGGGTCTCACTCTTATCACCTAGGCTGGAGTGCAGTGGCACAATCATGGCTCACTGTAGCCTTGACTTCCCAAGCTCAGGTGATTCTCCCACCTTAGCCTCCCAAGTAGTTGGGAATACAGGTGCAAGCCACCAAGCTCGGCTAATTTTTGTATTTTTTTTTGTAGAGACAGGGTTTCTCCATATTGCCCAGGTTGACCTCAAACTCCTGCAATCCTCCTGCCTCGGCCCTCCAAAGTGCTGGGATTACCTGTGGGAGCCACTGTGCCAAGCCTGTGAATTATTGTAAATGAAGGTCTTGAATTTTGTCACATGTGTAAAATAATGACGTTGGACTAAACTGTCTCTTCCATCTGAGAAGCCAATGATTCCATGAGATCTGTGTTCTCAAAGTGTAAGTTATTTACAAGGGGAAATCCATACCCTGAAAGAGCTGAACTATGGAAACCTTGTCTTTTCTGTCTCACCAGCCCTAAATCTTACGCTTTAGGCAGTGTTACATGTAGGGTGAAGAGGTACCACTCAGATCTGTGAGCTCTGCTTTTAGACTTCACCTAATTCTTCCCTTTGGGAAGAAGATAATATCATTTTTATCTGTCCAACATTGCCCCGTCTCACCTCTTCTAGAAACAGATCTTGCTCCTTTTGTGCCAGTCACAACCCCCGACTGTCTGGTCATAATGGTTGACCAAAGAAGGTGGCGAAATGACCCAAGGCCCATCAGGGTGTATCCTTAGGGATTTTTCTAAATATAAGCTGAGGAGAAAGAGTCTTTTGCATCTTTGGTAGGAAGCTGTAAGTATGTAAGCCTATCTCTTGGGAGGATCTGGTCTAGGGAAATGAAGACAACAGGCAGGGAGATGCAGAAAGGAAATGGGAGAGCATCCACCTGGTGACGGAGCTCCTGGATCCCAGCTTCTCCAAGCTCAGCTCCACTCTACGCTTTCTGCAGTTTGAGTCTGTGAATTAATGAGGCCCCCTTTTTTGCTTAAGCCAATTTCATTTGAGTTTGGGCCACTTACATCCAAAGAGCCTTGCTACTCAGTGTTGGGATGAGGAGTTGGCAGTTAGAATCTGCAAGGGGCTTGGAGATTCCAGGGACATGCTATGCCCTCTTCTATTTGTTTGCAAAGTGTAGCAGGACTCTAACTCTTTATTCTTGTGTCCTGGCCTTTTCTGGATGCTTAAATAAAATATCAAATAATCTTGCTATCTTCCATCTCTTCTCTGTCCAGTTTGTGGAAAGCAACCTCTGCCTGCTTGTACTGGGAGCAGCTCTTCTAGATGTCATTCACTGGCACTCCTCAATCAGAGAGACCTTTGTCTACAGGTTAAAGGACATTTGTAACTGCCACAAAATGCAAATTCAGACTGCTTCCCTTCACTTTCTGGTAGTATCAATATTTGCATTTCTTAGATTTCCATATTAGCCACAAAATGGTCTACCAGTTTAAAGAAGGTAGAAACTGCAAAATGACTTTTTAAGACCAGGTGATCCGACAGTTCAAAGGCATTCTCATGCATGCTTGCAGTCCTTGAAACATATCCATATAGTATTGTTTTTAATTATTTGTGCCCAAGGAGTTTTTGTTTTTGTTTTTTTGTTTGTTTGTTTTTAATTTAAACAAGAAGGTGTTAAATCCTCTGCTATCTGGGGAGAACTGCAGTGCCCAAACACCCACCCTTCTCTTTCTCTTGGACTTCAGTGTTATTAGATGAGGTTTGGGAAAGTTTTATTAGCACTTTTTATCATGACACTGGGACAGGAGAGAAAATGAATTCAAGCTCTACCAGGGTTCCAGTGTTAAACTTGGAAGGTGCTCACGGCCACGCTCAGCCTTACTGTAGGATATTACTTGAGTGAGTGCACACCCTCCCCACAAACTGAAGTTCTACTACACGCCTTCACTCATCTCCTACCACTCTTACTGGGTTGCATTTCAGCCTCACTGGCCTGCTTTCCTTCCTTGAACTTGCTAAATCCACTTCTGACTTAGGATCTTCCCACCATTTCCTTTGCCCAGAATGTTCTTTCTCCCCTGGCTCCTTCATGATACTGAGGTCTTCAGCATAAGCATCATATCCTCAAAGAAACCTTCCCGTATCACCCTGTTCCAGGCCTTTATTGTTGCCACACCAAAACAGTGGCTTAAACATTAATAATTATTTATTTGGCTCTGGAGTCTGAAAGAGTGAGATCTCAGCTTAGGAGTTCTCACTCCAGGTCTTTCATGTGGTTGCTGTCCAATGGGCATCTTGAAGTTTTTTCCATCATGTATCTGGGCTGGGAAGATTCAAACATCTAGGTGCTGGCACTGCTAGCTGCTCAGGTCTCTCTCTCTCTCATTCCTCTGAATTGTCTGTCCACATGGAGACTTCATGATAGCTGGACTTCTTACATTCAGCTGAAGGCACCTAGAGTGAATGTTCCAAGAAAAATCAGCAGAAGCTGCATGGCCTTTTCAAACTGATAGCCACTTCCTTTGTGTCCTATTCTTCCAGGTAGGTACAGAAGCCCCTCAGGTGCAAGGGGAAGGGACATAGACTCTACCTACTAGTAGAACAGTATCGAAGTACCTGAAGACTTGCTTTAAGACCACCACACACTACATACTTTATAAAACAGCCTCCCCAGCACCATATCACTTCACTTTATTATAATTCTTTGCATAGCCCATAGTGCTATATGTCATATTTTCTTATTTGTTTATTTTCTCTCTAGCCCCCAAAAGAATATAAATTGTGAAAATAGGGGCCTTATGTGTCTTATTCACCACTGTATCCTGGTGTTCAGTGGAGCAGTGCCTGGTACTTAGTAGACAATAAGTATCTATCAAATATTAATAAGTGAATGAAGGATAAATGGCAAGGGCTATTCTGAAGGGTCATCTCACTGAGATTGTTACTGTGGGCTCCATTTTGGATGACGATGGACCCTCCTCACCCTCCTTTTTCTACTTCCTTCTTTTTACCTCCCTTCCCTCTCTCCCACAAAATAATTTCTAATCACCGATGTCAGTATTTCAAACCTGGAGTCCTTAGTATAATTGTGATCCATTGGATTCAGCTTTTACCACCTTGTTTTTGAAAACAAACATACCAAAGCATGCCAATTTCATCATTTGGGTATGTCAAGGATACTTACACAAGCCTGCACCTGGCTTATTTTACAAATCACAGATTGGCTTGAATCTGTCTTTTGTTTCTTAGGATTTTTTGGTTGGTTTTGCTTTGTTTTTTTGCTTTCCTTCCAGCCAGATAAGCTGAGATCTGGTCTGTTTCCACTGAGGGGTAGTCATCAGTCTACCCTTCTCAACATTTCTGTTCCTGAGATTTAGCTACAGACTTCACAAGCTGTAACATTCTAACTACGTGTCATTGCCACCATTGTCTCTTGTCACAATCCTAATTCTATGTTCTGATAATAAAACTTCATTAGTGTCTGCACCTCCTTTCCCGTACCTTTGAAACACTGTCTTCTGCTGAAACGATTAGCAGTGCGCTGCGTCAGATCATCCGGCTGTCTGACAGCCATTGTGAGTGAGCTAAATTGTGAGAAAATGAAAATTTCTGACAATTTCCATTATTGTCAAATGGAGATATTTACTTGTACAAATATTAAAGGTTATTTAAAGATGTAAACGGACTTCATTTCATTAGTGGTATGCATCAGGTAATAATTTAAAACAACTACCCAGCCTCATTCAAATAAATTACCAATTCATTTTCTGAAAGAAAAATGTCATTTCTCCAGGCTGTGTTTTTAACTGCTTGCAATGGTAGAAGATTAAAAAAAAAAAACCTATGAATATTTCAGAACAGAAAATGTTCAAGTTCTCATATTGTTTAACATAAACCAGACAAAGGGCTATTGTTCTGAAAACCTGACTGAGAGTTGCCCAACCAGAGGAGACAGTGAAAGATCAATGACATCAAAATGGGCTTTAAAAAAAGGAATAGTAGCAATGGTGATTACATCTTCCTGAATTCCAGTTCTAGAACTTCACTAGAAAAAAATCAGGATGTGTGGAAATACTTATCTACAAGGATGTTCATCCCAGTGTTATTTATAATGGCAAAAAAAGAAGGTAGGAAATGAAAAAAAATATGTATACAAGGCTAAGGGATTGCAGGTGTTTGAGACCAGCCTAGCCAACATGGTAAAACCCCTTCTCTACTAAAAAAAAAAAAAAAAAAAAAATTAGCCAGGCGTGGTGGCGGGTGCCTATAGTCCCAGTTACCCGAGAAGCTGAGGCATGAGAATTGCTTGAAGCTGGGAGGTGGAGGTTGCAGTGAGCCGAGATGGCAACACTGCACTCCAGCCTGGGTGACAGAGAGAAACTCCATCTCAAAAAAAAAAAAGACTAAGGAATTGGACAATATATTAGAATACAGCCATATGATGGTCTGGAGTAAAGATGATTAATAAATGTATTGTAGAAGAATTCATTATAAATAATATGTAATAAATAGGGCACGGTGGCTCATGCCTGTAATCTGAGCACTTCGGAGGCCAAGGCAGAAGGGTTGCTGGAGGCCAAGAGTTTAAGACCAGCCTAGGCAACATAGTGAGACAGTCTCTATAAAGAATTTTTTAAAAATTAGCTGGGCATGGTGGCGCACACCTGTAGTCCCAGTTACTCAGGAGGCTGAGGCAGAAGGATTTTTTTGAGCAGAATAATTCTAAGATGCTGTGAGCTGTGACAGTGCCACTGTACTCCAGCCTGGATGACAGAGTGAGACTCTGACACAAGAAACAAAACAAAACAAACAACAACAAAATAATACATATACTATGATATCATTTATAAAAAGATAAACATCTATATTTGCATTGACATGGACGCAGGGAGGGGAACATTACACACCGGGGCCTGTGGCGGGGTGGGGGGCTAGAGGAGGGATAGCATTAGGAGAAATACCTAATGTAGATGATGGGTTAATGGGTGCAGAAAAACACCATGGCACATGTATACCTATGTAACAAACCTGCACGTTCTGCACATGTATCCCAGAACTTAAAGTATAATAATAATAATAATAAAAAAATCTTGGTGTAATGTTGGACAACAAAAAAAAAAAGGAAGAGAAGGACTAAGAAGAAATAGATCAAAATGATTACTTGGTAGTGGGATCACTGGTAAGTTTTTAATTTTCATGGGTACATAGTAGATGTATATATTTCTGGGGTACACGAGATGCTTTAATACAGGCATACAGTGTGAAATAATCACATCATGGAGAATGGGGCATCCATGCCCTCAAGCATTTATCCTGTGTGTATTACAAACAATCCAATTACACTCTTAGTTATATTGGTGATTTTTATTCTTGTGCTTTTATAATGAGAAATATACCAATAATCCAATAACCATTTGCAACTCGATGTTAGGGCAAGTTATCCTTGCTTAGCTGGGTCAGCTCCTCTTTCCTTCTAGTGCAATGGAGAATACTCCTGGGAGACTCGGTGCATTAATGCTCGTACTGTGGGTATTGGCAAAAGAGACATGGAGCGAGTTGGTCTAATGTTATACAGGAAAATGTTTATGCTTTCAGGATTTGGCACCTTGAGGTCAGTCCTTTCCATTATGACCTTCAATATTACACCAGTAAAATATTCTCTAATTTGCAAATTAAAGTATTTCTTACAAAACCCTCAGGGATGAATTAGTAAGTGCATCACAACCCTCCTCTACCTCCTTAAGCTTCACCCTCTTCTAGAAAATAATGTCTTATAAAAGATGATAGTTTTCTCCCTTTTAGGAAGTCAGGGCTGGTAAGGCATTCCAATGGTTAGGGATTTCAGCAATTTCTATCTCGTTGCTTTGCTCAGCACATTGATTCCTCTTCATAGTCCAAGCTCCAGCCATCATAGAACATTCCAGCCAGCAGGAAAGCAGAGAGGAAAGGGGGGCATGCCCCAAGGTCATGGGGCAACACTTCCATTACACCCATTGTCCAGAAGCTGGTCATATGGCCACTGCAAGGGAGGATTCTGGAAGGCTGGGAAATGTAGTCCTTATTCTATATGGCTCAGCTAAAAGTTGGCATCCAATTTTTAAGGAAAAAAGAGAAAATGCCCTGGAGAGCATGCAGCAGCCTCTGCCACAATCATACATGTGGGCATCACAGGGAGACATGTGTCAGAGAAGACAAACCAAGTGTAACAGTTTTCATCTCTTTTGCATCCACTCAACCTAGAAAGCATTTCCTGGTGCTCACATTTATTTGAAAACACTCTATATACTACAGAATTCTGAGATGTGGCCTCTGGGGAAGAAATAAAACAGCTGCAGCAAATAAAGCAGATGGGAATTAAGAATGCTGGAGGAGCTCCAAAATACAATCCCATTGTCCACTAAGTGCCCACCCTACAAAGAATGTGCTCCAAAATAGAAACTTTATGAAACTTTGAAGCATTTGATTAATGTAAGCCTTCATGAATAATGCAAGGCTGTGTGCCAGGGTTTCATGTGAAGCTGAGAGAGGAGAAAGATTAGCATGCGCATTTTGGCTTTAAAGAAAATTAAGAAAAATTCACAAAGGGAACTCAAGCATTTGGGGGCAAGAGGTGTTGCCACTAAAATGGCTTCTGCAGACATGCCCCCTGCAGTGGTGGAGGGGGGCGGGTGCTCAGCAAACACTGGCTGGCTCGCCAGGGAGATTCCCTGCCACAGGGTAGGTACGGTTCACCCTCCTAAGGGCCCCCCAGGTCCAGTCCTGTATGCAGTTGGGTAGGACAGTCAGGGCCAGTCATGCATGTGGCTGCAGGCAGGCCCTGAAGATTCCTCTTTCCCCTGAAAATATCTTTCCCACCTACAGGTTTCTGGAACTAGATCTTCCTCCCTCAGATATTCTTTATGTTAATGAATTGTCTTCTGTAGAAATGCAAAGATCTTTTGGAAGGGCTGTACACAGGTATCGCTTCAAAATACAACCCTTTCTATTCTGCCCCTAAAATGTGTTTTACACATTTTATTATGAAATATTTAATACTCACAAAAGGTATAAAGAATTTTTCATGGTCATAAGTTAAAAGCGAAAAAGAATATGTATAGTTTAGGAACTACCTGAGTACACATTACCCAGCTTAATATATAAAATATTATCAATGGAGTTGAAGCCCCTTTGACTTCCCCAGTCACATTTCCTTTCCTGCCCCTAAAAGTAGCTGCCGTCTTGAATATAATGTGCATGATTCCCAAGCATGGGATGTTGCAGGAATTTATGATCTGGCCACTCACCCCCATACATCCTGCCCTTCTACTGGTTTAGGCCATTATCATTTTTCACCAAAGCCATTCATTCAGCACACATCAAACACTACTCTCGGCCAGGCACCATGACCACTGTTTCCTACCTAGTATCCTTGCCTCCAGTGTTTCTCTCCATCCGATTTACCTCCCACATTGCAGTCACAATATTATATCTCTGCTCAAGAACTTCATATGGCTCCCTACTGCCTATATGCTAAAGTCCAAGCTCTTTAACACGGCATCCAATTCCATGTGAACACATTACTAGGGCCACTCCCAGAGCCTTGGAAGGGTTAGGGTAAGGATTAAGGTGGGGTTAGGGTTAACACTAATTTCACAGTAAATGGGCTTCTGTACACATTTGCATGGCTGCAATAATACATTCCTGTGGTGTGTCTTCTCATTTTAGTGGAAGAAATTGAACAGACTTGTTCAAATCACAGCTCTGCTTTTTGCCAGACCTTGGGCAAATTGCTTTGTGCATTAGTCTGTTCTCACACTGCTGTAAAGATATTATCTGAGGCTGGGTCATTTATCAAGGAAAGATGTTTAATTGACTCACAGTTCCACATGGCAGGGGAGGCCTCAGGAAACTTACAATCATGGTGGAAGGTGAAGGGGAAGCAGGTACTTGTAAGACAGCAGGAGAGAGACAGCATGAGGTGGGGAAGTGCTGAACACTTTTAAACCATCAGATCTCATGAGAACTCCCTCTCTATCACAAGAACAGCATAGGGGAAACTGCCCCCATGATCCAATCACCTCCCACCAGATACCTCTCATGGCATGTGGAGATTACAATTCGAGATGAGATTTGGGTGGGGACACAGAGCTAAATCATATATCAATATCACTTTGCCTCTTCGAGTTTTCATTTCCTAATAGAGATAAGCACATCTATGAAAGAGACTGTTAACTAATCACCAAAATCCCTTTTGTCCTTCTTCTATAGGTCTAAGATTGTAGCTAAGATATTGCTACCCAGGTAAGGACCATATTTCTCAAATTCTTGCCAAGTCTGGGATTTGATTCTACCTTACTGAAAGCTAATATGTTAGCTTCTGACTGTTTCACTGGTGCTAATGGAAGACACAAGACCCTTAGGTCAGAGACAAAGGAGTTTAGTACTCATGACACATCAAGCAGCAGGAACATCAGCATATTTGCATTGGTTCTTCTTGCCCTGGGTCTTATGGGGGATAATACAATGGCCCCAGATGGATGTTATGCATGCAGAGTGTTTGTGTTGCAACTGAGGAGCACCAAGCTTGGGGAATCCATCACTTTTATAGTAAGCAATAAGCAAGCCTATTCATTGTCCCTGGTGGTGTGTGTGTCATAGGGAAGGATAAGTAGATGTAATTTCATTTCCTAAGGTAATTGTCTGTATAAACAACCCTAAGAAATAGCCAGAATAAAAGAGCAGTGAGATCCTTGAAGTTCTGGTATATTCAGCAAGACATGTAGGAATGCAAGAGGTCCAAGGAGGACTCTCTCCCAACAGCTCTTTTGAAACTTGATATGGCCATGTCACTTAGACTTCTGCATTAGAATATGAGGGGCAAGATATGTGTCCCTTGTGGGAAGACACCTTAAAACGAGGCTATGCCTCATTTAATTCCTCTTTCCCCTTTGTGTTTGCTGGTTAATGGCAATGACAAGAGAGATTTTGGAAGACAAGTGTTGAAAAAGCTGCCATCAGCCTGAGTCCAGGATGACTGTGCACAGAAGGGTTGCCCATCAACTTAGAACATTCACTTCAAATTGTCACGTGCGTGAGACATACACTTTTTATTCTGCAAGCTGTCTGGAAACGTCATTTGTTACAGTGACTCAGTATATCCTTCACTAATAAAACATCTCATGCAGAAGGGTTGCAAGGATTAAATGAAATTCCAATGGCTAAAGTTTGTGCACAGCTAACTCTGGGCCAGGGTCTTGCTAAAAGCTTGAGTGTGTTATTTCATTAAATAATTACAATAATCTTTCAAAGTAGGTGTCATCATCTCCATTTCATAATTGGAGATCAAAGACATTAAAAAATATTCTTAAGCTTCAAGGATGAAACAGTAGCAGAACTGGGACCAAATTCAGGGCTGACCAATGCCAAGCCCATGATTGTCTTCAGTGTGCCACATGTTTTCCAGGGTTTCAATTTTAGGTTCCAGGTTCTCTCTCTTTCTCCCTCTCTCTCTTCTCACTCTCTCTCTTTAGCCATCCCACCTACCGTTGATCCCTCCTCTCTTCTTTTTCTCTCTCCTTCCGCCATTTCTTCATATTGAATTATATTTTCATACCAGATAGCATACTGGAATGCAAAAAATAACTCCAGTCAGGAGCTCTGATTTTTGGTTTCAGCTTCCGCAAATCCTAGCTGTGAGTACTTGGTCAATCATTTAATCGCTCTGAGCCTGAGTTTTCCGGTCAGAGTAAAATAGATAGATCAGTAATAGTTGTCTTACCTATCTTACATGATAGCCAGAAGGTTCAATTAAAATACATTGCATTGAAAGTCTTTACAAATTGAAAAACATTCTAGAAATGGCAGGTGTTACTCTTTACCCCCATCCCATATGCCAGTAGTTCACAAAGTATAGTCCCTGGACAGCAGCATCAGCGTCACTGGGAGCTTGTTAGAAGTGCAAATTGTTAGGCTCCACCCAGACCTGCTGAATTATGAAATCTGGGGGTTGGGTCCAGGAAACTGTGTTTGTTAAGTTCTCCAGGTGATTCTGATGCACACTGAATTTTGAGAACCACTGTCACACATGCTTGGACATACGTTCACAGGCACACACACTCATATTCAGGTAAAATCAAGTTAAAATAAATATTAAATAAAAAAGAAGCCATATAAGAGCTGCCTGTGGATGGTGTTTGGGAGAAGGAGGTAGTGAGCCGTGCTAAGAAGAGGCTTGGGAGGAAGGAGTGAGATATCCTTGCCATTGCAAGGATAAGTGTCAGGCCTCTTAGTTCAGTGGAATTTCTCTCCTCTTCCTCCAGAGTTGGTGCTGTGAGCCCCACTATAGCAACTGGATGAGGAGCAGGAAATGTGGGTCTTAAGGAAATAACTCAATATTTTTAGGATTCTTTCCATTGTAAATAAGAGAAACCCATCACAAACAGTTTTGGTCAAAAATGAACACTTATCGGCTTACAAAATTTAAAAGTCCAGAGGTAGATTGGCTTCATGCATAAGACAGATTCTGGGTCTCAAACGTCATTGGAATCTATTTCTCTCATTGTGCTGGCTCTAATTTTCCCTGTTATTTTCATCACTCTTGGGGTCTTCTCTTGCAGTGGTAAAAATAGCCAAAAGCCTTCTAAGGCCCATGTTTGATTTGTTTAGCCACTCCCATATAAGAAGGAGTGACTTTTTCCCCATGGTTCCAACAGAAATCCTAGGCTGACTCTCTTTGATCCTGCTTGGGGCACTGGACCAATTAACATGACTCTGATTGGCCAGACCTAGGTCATCCCCAATCCTGGAATCTGGCAAGGCCACACGAACTGGGTCCTGAATTATCTGATAGAGCAGAGGTATCTTGAACTGCTCACTTTAGGACTGCCTAGTGAGAGACACATAACATTTCTCTTTTATTTAAGCCAGTGTGTTTTTGGGTTTCTTTGTTCTAGCAGCTTAGCCTGCATGCTAACATACCCTGTACCAAGGAAGCAGTGTGGGAAAATGGACTGATTATTTAGAGATCTGGGATCTCATTAGTTCTACAATTTGCTGTGATGTGACCAGTTTCTTCTTGTGTAAAATAAGCCATGCGGATTGAATCTGGGATGCAGGAAAATGGAATTCATCTTGAGCAGAATGGGGAAAATAATCGTATTTACAGTCACTCCTCTGTATCTGTGGGTTCTGCATCTGTGGATGCAACCAATCATGGATCAAAAATATTCGTGAGAAAAACAATAAAAAATAACAATACTACTATAAAAATGGTAAGAACCAATATAGTATTACATCTATTTACATAGCATTTATGTTGCATTGGGTGTTATAAGTCATGAGACTTACATAGAGATGATTTAAAGTACACATGAAGATGCACATAGGTGATACGCAAATACTACGTCACTTTCAATAAGGGACTTGAGCATCTGTGGATTTGGGTATCTGTAGGGGTCCTGGAGCTAATCTCCCATGGATACAGAGAGAAGATTGTACTTCATAGGGTTGTGAGAATTAGAGGAGCTAATGCCTAGGGCCTGAGACACAACAGATGCCCTATAAGTATGAACTATATTCATTATTATAAGGTCTGCCCTGACTGACTGCAGGAGGCTGCCCGGAAGGCTGAGTTGACAAGCCTATAAATCCCCACCAGGACCACATCAGAGCTCACTGGAAATGAGCACCATTGTCAGCCAGCAGTGTTATCCATGGACACAGGACAGGGAGTTCCTTGTAATGGAGGAGGCCCCTTCCCTTCCAACTTTAGAGAATGGTATATATTTATACTAAGCCAGCTTAGAAGTGTCCTCTTTTCCCCTTTTCCCTATACTACCCACACCACCAGGGGCTTCAGGTAAAACACAAACATAAGAGTCCCTGACAGCCTTTCACTCCCTGGCAGTTCTTTTCTCCACCCACTTTCTCATTTTCTGGGCCGAACTCTTGAATCCGGAGACTCCAGACTTATGAGAGATGCCTAGACTTCTCCAGCTTCTCTTTTTAAATTGTTTTTACTTCCCTCTCGTTCTGACTCAAATCTCATCTCAGGGACTGGAAATTGCTGTGTTAAATGATATTGTCAGCCTGGTCTTTGAAGGATGCGTTTCTAGGACCGTGGCCTCCCCACAGGTCCAATCCCATTTGGGGTGATTCTGCCTCTGCTGGTTCCACTAGCCTAAGAAGTTCTGGGTCCAAAGAGGAGCCTCCATGGGGGTTCTGGTCTGCTGAGAACCCAATCACTAACACAATTTAGAAAATAACCCAAGTCAGATAATCCAAATCTGAAATCCCATCCCCAATCCCTAATTGTATGCAGGGAAATGTCTTATTTTGACCATTTTCAAAAGTCACAGAAAGTGTGGAAATGATGTATGAGTGAGGGCTCAATTGAAGAAAATAAAATCCAACTAGTTTAAATGGGATCGTTTGCAGAGGCTAAATCCACTCCAACAGCCCTATTCTTAAATCTTTCGATTCCTTCTTCTATATTGGAGTTGGCAAACTATGGCCTGCTTTTGTAAATAACACTGCCACCTGTTTGTGTAAGCAAAGCTTGATTGGAACACAGCCACGCCCGTTCATGTACATATTGTCTATGGCTGCTCTAGCACTTCTGACAGTGGAGTTTAGTTACAGCAAAGACCTCATGGTTCACAAAGCCCAAAACTTTTACTGCCTGTCTTTTTTTCAGAAAAAGTTTGCCAATTCCTGTTCTATATTATATCAACTTCACTTAGCACAGGCCACCATCAGCCAACGAAGCTAACAACTGCTCCCATACACCCATGTGTGTACTTACTCTAGTAGCTCTGGAAGTGGCACCCATAGCAACGACTTCAGTCTGAACTGTAGTTATGCTCCTCCCTCCATGGTCTAGCATCCTCCACATCCCTTTCCACACCCATGGATAGGAGAGACAGATGATTTTTTTTTAGGGCAGCTGTAGACGCATCTTGGTTCTCAGACAGAGCCAGGAATATACAGCTCTGAGCCTGTCGTTTTCTTTCTGTAAACTCTCTTAGTCTGTTAGTTGAAGTCAGTCAGTCCCATTGTGCCGTTGGCAGTAGGGAGTCCTTTTCTACCATGAGGAGAATGTATGAGAAGTGGAGACAGTACAACTGGAGAGCCTGTACTGATGGAATATGGGCACCACTACTCAGCTCCAGCTAATGATTGTTACAGTGGAATGCAAACCTGTGTTGTCAAATCTTCTGATTTGTCAAGAGAGGCTGGAAATATTGTTTTGTTTTGTTTTAACAGGCAGTCATTGCACACTGAGGTTTAAGGCTTTACTTGTTGGTGATCTTGGGCAAGTTTGTGTGCTTTTCTTAAGCTTGGTGTCCTAAGCTGTCCAGTGAAAGAAAGGAAGAAAGGAAAGAAGGAAGGAAGGGAGGGAGGGAGAAGGAAGCAAGGAAGGAAGGGACGGAGGGAGGGAGGGAGGGAGGAAGAAAGGAAGGAAGGAAGGAAGGAAGGAAGGAAGGAAGGAAGGAAGGAAGGAAGGAAGGGAAGGACTATATCTTGTAAGGGTTTTGTGACACTTATGTGTGATAATTCATATCAAGTTCTAAGAATGGAGTCCGGCTTGTACAGAGCACATGATCAGCAATTGCTAGCCTCCTGTTTTTCACTAGGCACTGGAGGAGGCACTAGATGGGGATTCCATCTTTCTTGTCTGCCTCTATTCGGAGTGAAGAATGTTCTATTTTCATGGCAGGACTGCAGAGCCCACCTGGAAGAGAGCTCCAGGGTCCACGCGAAAGTCTCTAGAGCTCCTTCTATGACGGGGTGAGATAGACACACCCAAGGAACTGCCCCAAACAACATCTATGGCAGACTTTTGTTAGGGGAGAGAAATAAATAAGTAAAGAGAAAAAGAAGTAAAGCAGGAAGGAAAGAAAGGAAGGAGAAGGAAAGAAAGAAGAGGAGGAAAAAGGAGGGGAGAAACTAGACTCAGTAAAAATCAAAGCATAGAAACATTGTAATTAATGTATAGGAATAGACTGTAGATGTATGGTGTAGGAATATTAAAAAAGTACTAAGCAAGACTCATGTTGCAGATTATAATTAATAATAGGTAAAGGTATTTAAGATTTATTGTTAAGTTTAAAAAGCAAGTTATAAAATAATGTTTATTGAATGATATCAATAGCATATATGAATTTACATATATCCAACTAGAAAAAAGACTGGAAGGAAAGCCAACAAAATATAAAAAATGGTTATCTCTGGGTGACAGAATTATGGATGACTTTTGTTTTGTTTTACTTCTGTGAACTTCCTAAGTTGTCTTCAATGAACCTGTGTAACTTGTGTAGTAAGACAAAATGGGAATTATGAAAAATAATCATTTTGATTGCGAAGCCACTGGTTGGATAGCTGAACCCTGAGTTTCAAATACTTTTTCAATCTTCCAGCAGGTGGCGCAATGGCAATGTCCGCCTCCTTGGGAGAATTTCACTCCACAATTAACAGAATCTCAGATCTCAGCCCACGCCAGCCATGGAGCAGAGGGCTTATTCTCTGGCGGGGAGGGGGAACTTGAAAGAAAACACTCAAACCCAGAAGCTGCCCACACTCAGATTGCTGGCCCTATGGCTCAGTTCTTCCCACAGTAGGAGAGACAAGGTTTTAGGGTAAATGCAATGATACAGGCAGAAGAAATATGTTTTCTCTTCCTCCCTTACCCTCCCTATCCCCCGTAATTTGGCCCTAGGCAAAGTTCAAATTCGTCTTTTTGGTGGGCATTTCTAGATTGCATTGGATTTGCAGCTCATTCAAGCCCTAATGGTAAGTGAGAGTTTGGGCTCAAAGGTGAAGGAAAAAAGCAGATAATCATCTTATCCACAATGCTGTATGGTTAGAGGATCTTTAATGTAGAGCACACCTTGTGCATGAAGATGGTGGACATGCTGGCCAGCCATCGGCTGTTGGGGAGCGCTGAAGGCAAAAGGAGCCTGTGGCCGGGTTAACCAGTCTACCAGGAGTGAATGAGACAGAATCTCTCCAGGCTTGGACACCACAGGAGGCTGGGCTATTCATAGCCAGGGTACAGCCTTAGCTTGATCTGGAAGTGAAGAAACCCTCAGAGAAGTCAGCCGCACTCCATCACTTTGAATTTTGTTTTAAATCTTAAATTTGCCCACGTCCAAGAAAACCACTCCAAAGGGAATCCAGCAGGGGAAAAGCCACCAGAGTCCACCAAAACGGTCCACATTCCCCCCAGATCCACACGCACACATACCATCTGGAAACAAGTAATGCTCTGGGCCTTCTATGCTATTTCTCAAAGCTCTTCAGTAAGCCTCCAGTGCCCTTCTCCGTAATGACATGGAAGAAAAAGAAAAGAAACGAGGGAAGAAAGAAAGGAGGGGAGGGAGGAAAAGGACTACCGCAGCTCATCTTGGCAGAAAGAAGCTAGCAGACTCCTCCCTCCTTCCCCAGAAGTTTTCACTTACTGATTCATCCCCATTGTGATCTAGATGCCGTCACAGAGGACCTGCTTGCATGGGGGCACTCACCTAGGTTTTGAGAAAAGTCAATCAAAGCCCTTGACATACAGGAGCTTTCTATTTCAGACAATCCAGATGATCAGAAGAAACCACATAAAATGACAGGGAACAAGGATCTGGAAGTAACTACATGTGTCTCTCCCTTCATCCTACAGATGTTCATTCTAACTCTCTCTCTCTCGGACACACACACACACAGACATATGTGCACACGAACACACACATTCCCTGGGGTGCTACAGTAGTAGGGAATGCATGCTATGGTTTAAATTTGTACCCAAGATTTATGTGTTGGAAACTTAATCCCCAGTGCAACTGCAGTGTAGGGGGGTGGGGACCTTTAAGAGGTGATTAGGTCATGAGGATGCTGTTCTACTAGACTAATGTCACTTTCATAGGAGTAGATTTGTTATCAAGAGAGTGGTTTGTTATAAAAGCGAGTTTGTCCCTCTCTTGTGCTTTCTCTCCCTCTCCCTGTCTCACCCTCTTGCCCTTCACCATGGGATGATGCAGCAAGAAAGTCCTTCTCAGATGCTAGCACCTTGATATTCCCACTCCCAGAACCGTGAGAAATATATTTCTTATCTTTATAAATTATCCGGTTTGTGGTATTCTGTTATAGCAACATAAAATAGACTAAGACATCACACAATAAAAACAGCAACAAAATAATGAACACATATAAGGCTATATACTAACAAGTTTAGCTTAAAAGTTAAGCACTTTGGAGTCCCTCGGCCTGGGTTTAAAGCCAGCCCTGCTGCCTTCTAGTGGAACATCTCAAACAAATTACCCAAAGTTTTTGAATCTTAGTCTGTACATCCGTTAAATGATAATAATAATAATGGCTACAAGTCACACTATTACAGAGAGGATTCAATGAGATCTTGCATATAGAGCCCTTGGTGCAGTGCCTGGCTGTGACCAGCACTCAGTATGTATTGACTATTGCTGTTTTCTGAAAGCATATTGATAACGGGGCAGTTTGGGATTGCCAGGCTGGAGTTTGTTGATGGAAAGGAAATTTTATCAAGGGCAGTGATGTCCAGTGACAAGACTGTTTGGCACTGAAATCATTTTACAAGGAGCTTCAGTATGCTTTAAAATAGAACCCAACACATTCTTGCCACAGGGGTCCAAAGTGGCTATCTGTAAAAAGCAGTGTGATTAATTAGCTGAAAGGGTCAGGTGATCTTCAAACTAATGAACCAATGTGGCCCAAGAACCAATCAATCAGAAAGAACCCTGGCTCTAGAGCCAAAGCAGCCCCCTGGACATCCCTGGCGTGCCAGGCCCCTTCTCTTGGATTCCAGGGAGTCCAGGGGACCCAGAGAAGAGGATGGGCAGCAGCGACACAGATGGGCACTTGGCAGTGACTACAGACCAGCTGATACAGATATATTTCAGTATTTTAATAACCTGCATGGACATGCCGGTGCATCCTGGCTGAACATGAGCTCTAGGTCAAGATATGAATTTCATCCAGGAGCAGTGGCTCATGCCTGTAATCTCAGCACTTTGGGAGGCCGAGGTGGGCGGATCACTTGAGGTCAGGAGTTCAAGACCAGCCTGGCCAACATGGTAAAACACTGTCTATACTAAAAATACAAAAATTAGCTGGGTGTGGTGGCATGCACCTGTAGTCCCAGCTACTCAGGAGGCTGAGGCAGGAGAATCACTTGAACTCGGGAGGCCGAGGTTGCAGACAGCCGAGATCACATCACCACGCTCCAGACTGGGCAACAGAGTGAGACTTCATCTCAAAGAAAACAAAAAAAAAGATATGCATTTCAATCCCACCCCAACCTGAGTGTTTCTTAGTCCATTAGCCAGGAATGACACAGCAAGAAAGAGATCCATGGAGAAGGTTCGAATTGATTCAGTAGAAAGAAATCTTTCCCTAATTCTGGAAGAACAACTCAATGTCAAAATGGTACATGGTTGCTTCCTATTCTTGTGTAGCTGGTGGAGGCTTAAGTATTCAGAGCCCCACCTTCTAGCTACTGAGAGTCCAGGAGAGAGCTATTTCCAGTGACGATGAAAGGATCGCCCACTAGCACACAGGGATCTGCTGAGGTGGGCTTGGTTCACAGGGGTGAGGAAGATGACAGGAAGGAACTCCTGACCTCAAGTGATCTGCCCTCCTCAGCCTCCCAAAGTGCTGGGATTACAGGCAAGAGCCACCGTGCCTGGTTGAAACTCGTATTTTGACCTAGAGCTGATGTTTTCCAGGGTGCACCAGCATGTCCATACAGGTTATTAAAATACTAAAATATATCTTCAGGTGCTTGTGGGCATGGAGAGAGGAGACTTGGGAGCCAGTCTCCATGGTTTTCTGTATGGGCTTTCAACAGAGAGGGGCTACCAAGAGAAGCTGGAAGAATGGTTTGCCCATACATTCTTCAGGAAACCCTGGGAGAGTAAGGAAGTTGTCCTTCAGAACTGATAAGAATGGGAGAGGGTGAGGGGAGAGATCACTCCACCACTGCCAGGTGGCCTCAGTATAGCTGACACAGTGTGGCCTCAAAGCCAGCAGCAGAATAGAGCCCTAGCAGCTGAAAGCAGCAACAGACTTGGGAGTCTTATTCACTGGGCTTTGGAGGCCGCACAGGGGCTGAGAGTCCTTGTTTGGTGGCATTTCCAAGACTTTCCCCAGGGTTTTTCCCAAAAGGGTTGCAGGGCTTTGAGGAGGGAACCAGAAGATCTGCCACAGTAGGGAGGAAGGCTAGAGGAACATCTGTCGCTCAGTGGCAACAACCCCCATATCTGGAGAGCATCCTGCAATTTATAAAGCATGGTCTCATTCCTAACTCTTCCCAGCAGAGATAATTATTCCTGTTGTGTAGATGAGAAAACTAAGACCCAGAGAGGTAAAGGGACTTACCCAAGGTTAATCATGGCAGAGCCTATTCACACTGGTTCATCATTCCATGTTTTCTGACTGTCAATTCAGTACTCAGTCAGAGGGGCAGACGGGCAGACGAGGTGCCTGGGGTGCAAAACGTAAAGAGGTCAGGTCCTTAAGAGTGAGGTGGCTAGGACACAAAATTTAAAGACACACACAATCTCGGGTCATGAAGTGCCACACCCGCATCCAGGCCTTGCTTTAATTACCACTCCCATTCCCCTCCAGCGTTGAGGGCTTCACTAGAGAAGCCTATTGCTGGCATTGCACCCTGGATATCTCTGGCATCCATTTGCCTGTTGAGCAAGCCTGTGGCTTCACCACATCCTTCCTCAGAAGCTGCCTGGAATCTCCAACTGTTCTTGTAGTTAGGAGAAGGGGAGTGAAGGAGAATGTTGCCACCGGATATGCCGGGCACCACAAACAAACAACAAAAAGGATTCATGTGTTCAATGGAGCTGAATTTTAATTGATACTTTCTCAAACAGTGGTTCTGAACCAACATCGCTCAGCCCCCAAAGATGATGAAGGGGGTGCGGTTTAACGCCACAATTAGCAGACAACCCCACAACAAATACAGTAAACATTAATCATATTAAATATTGAACTCAGACTTTGGTACGCTTGAAGAGCAATGGGTTTTTAAAATTTTATTTTACAGAAGACAAAGCAATGATTGTGGAGGAATTATTCCGATGTCAGTGCTGAAGGGAAATAATGTAACATTCTGGAATTTATATAAAAATTACAGCTTTGTTGTGTTTCACACTATATATAGTAATTTAATCATTTGCAGCTGATTAATTTCAGTGAAGGAAAATGTAGCATTATGCATCCCTAATGGAGTTCCAAGGTTTGAATTCTAATCGTGAGTTGGGCACAGTTTAAGTCTAAATTAGCAATTAGCTTGGGCAAGGGACATTTAGGTTGAATGGAAGTCATCTGTTGACATGTCCTGAGTCAACAAGAGAGTAGCAATGAAGATCATCAGAAAAATGCCTGCCACAGAACACTCTTCGCTGGCTTATTAATTATAGTGCTGAACATTAGCAGAGTGCCATTCCACTTTAGAAAACCTTTTCGTGTACATTTATCTCATTTGCTTTGGTCTTCATCTAAGTCTGTGAAGTGGGTGTTTGTGCTCCATTTTATAGCAAGGAAACTGAGGCTTGGAGAACTTAAGGCCACACGGAGGAAGAGCACCCTGTGGCAGGATTTGAACCCAAGAGTTCAGGCTTCAAAATCAGTATCCTTTCTACATCAAGATATTTTCTGGGGACAAATTTGCTCCATCTTGAGGTCCTCCAGAGGTTAATCCTCAAATACATCTAGAAGCAGGTACTTACTGTTCATATCCCTTTTTACAGATAAGGCTCGTGTGGGTCAAGTTGCTGGTCCAAGCATGCAGCTGAAATTGAAAACCTCGTTCTTCATCATAATACTTAGTACCTCTCAAAGATGGTTCTTAAACACCAGGCTGAGCCTTCTCGATCTTGTAGTCCACTTGGGATTTGGTGTGTTTGGGTGTGATGGCATATTTTGGGCCAGGAACTAAGGAGAACTAAGGCACATTTTGGATATTCTCAGATCCTGCTCCCCCACTTCTCCACCCTGCTCTGCTCCAGGAAGGAGGAACTGGGTGGATCTGTCAAGTCTGGTCAGTGGGAACAGCAGCAGGAGAGAGGAGGTAGAGAAGCCAGCAGACTCAGTGTTTACTCTTCTGGTTTTCTCACTGCAGGGTTGCCATGAGTCTGCTGTGTCCCTTACCCAAAAGTCATGGTCCCTCTCACTGCCCCTTCAGATCCAGGGTGATCATGGTGCTCACTATTACCAATCCTGGGGTACTACACACTCTTTTCCTGCCTTTTTCTTACAGCCTGTCCTCCCCTTTGTAACTCATTCCTCTATCCAGGAACCCTGCCTGATTGATGGACAAAAATACAGTATAAACCCCACCCTTCACATCAAAACTTGAGATTTGGAGTGAAACTTACTGAATCAGCTAGAGTCCTGGCTGGAAGCAGAAGTTTTCAGATAGGTTAAAAAAGAGATTTTTTTTAATGAAATGACTACTTATAAAGGTGTGGACAGGGTTAAGTGAACAAAGAAATATCAAGGCACCCAAAGACTGGAAGAGCAGGAAGCTATTACTATTCCTAAGGCTGAAAGGGCTGAAGCTGGAAGTCAGGAGGGGCCCCTGACTACTCTCTCTTCTTGCCCTTGGAAGTCTTGCCTGTAGCAGGCTCTCATGGGTGACACCCAACCAGAAACCTGACTGCAGGGCAATGTGGATGGTGCAGGGTTCAGGATCACCCTCTCAGGGTACAAAATAGGACAGACAAGGTAGAAAGTGGAACACTGTAGAAAAACAGGGAATAGCCTATATGTTTATCTTGTATCTTTGCAGAGGCTGGAGGTTAGGAAACATTAATACTTAAGAGTGTCTTAGTTTTACAGGAGAATTTCTTAAGTATTTCATTTCCAACAAAACAATGGATTCAAGCAAGGATCATCAATAGATGCTAAAATGATTGAGTAAAAAGTTGGTTGGATAAAGGATATTAACGTGACCTCAAAGTATCCTCCCAAAGATTACTCGTTAATTACAAACAGGTAATGCGATCTGTCAGATGCTGGCTTAACAAAGCAATCAAGCTTAGCGTCTTCAATAATGGGACCTACTGATGCTATGTGCCCCATAATGGAATGCAGTGGGAAGCAGACAACTTCACCTTTGTTGGATTCTTGCGAAAATGCTTACGCTGAACCTAACCAAGAGAAATATCAGACAAATCCAGATTCCAGAGCATTCTATAAGACAACTTGCCTGGATGCTTCAAAAAAGTCAGTGCCTTGAATAGCAATAGCCACAAAGACAGAGCTAAGCAGAAAAGAGAACTGTACAGGAAAACTTGGATGAACCTGGCCAATATAATGTTGAGCAAAAGAAGCCAGACTCTAAAAAGAGCATGTAAAATGTGATTTCATTTACATCAAGTTAAAAAACACACAAAACCAATTTAGTCATTAGAAGCCAGACTAATGGATATCCCTAGGAGGTGATGTCAGAAAGGGCACCCAAGAAGGAATTCCAGGGTTGCTAATGATGTTCTGCTTCTTGATCTGAGTGCTGGTTACAAGTGCATACTCAATTTGTGAAACCTCATTATAACTAATACACAGTGTGTGCGTGTGTGTGTGTGTGTGTGGTGTGTCTGTGTGTTAGAGAAGGAGAGAGAGTATTAGTGTGGTAAAAGATTAACAGTTGATGAAACTAGCTAGGTGTTGGGTATATAAGCATTCATTATCATTATATTATTCTTTTAACTCTTCTCCAGGTTTGAAATTTTCAAAAATAAAAAATATAAAAAATGGTTTCAATCATTTTTGTAAGTGTTGAATTAATAGAATTGGCCAGCACACTATGTACTAGCAGTGGCCTCTCCAGTGATTTTCCCTCATTTATACACTTATTTAAATATATGCAAACTATTCACACTTAACCAACATAAAACAAACAACTCAAAACCATTTTGCATTCATCATAATCCCTAAACACAAGCCAAATACCTCATCTGGTGCCCAAACACAGGCATAGCAATCTGTTCCCATGTTGAGAGAAAAGCATCTGTGTTAGACATACTAAGCTATAGCTTGGGATCCACAAAGCCATATCTATGGGACTTTGAATTCTCAAGGGTTATTTTAATGTTAGGCAATTTTTACTATGTTCACTGTCGTTATTTATTTTTGTTTAACTTGTGTTTTAAGTTCAGGGGTGCACGTGCAAGTTTGTTATGTAGATAAACTTGTGTCACAGGGGTTTGTTGTACAGATTATTTCATCACCCAGGTATTCAGCCAAGTATCCATTAGTTATATTCCCAATCCTCTCCCTCCTCCCACTCTCCACCCTCTGATAGGCCCCAGTGTGGGTTGTTCCCCTCTGTGTCCATGCATTCTCATCCTTTAGCTCCCACTTATAAGTGAGAACATGCAGTAATTGGTTTTCTGTTCCTGTGTTCGTTTGCTAAGAATAATGGCCTTTGGCCAGGCGCGGTGGTCCACGCCTGTAATCCCAGTACTTTGGGAGGCCAAGGTGGGCAGATCATGAGGTCAGGAGTTTAAGACCAGCCTGAACAACATGGTGAAACTCTGTCTCTACTAAAAATACAAAAATTAGCCGGGCGTGGTGGTGAGTGCCTGTAATCCCAGGTACTTAGGAGGGAGGCTGAGGCAGGAGAATCGCTTGAACCCAGGAGGCAAAGGTTGCAGTGAGCTGAGATCGCACCATTGCACTCCAGCCTGGGCGACAGAGTAAGACTCCATCTCAAAAAAAAAAAAAAAAGAAAAGAAAAGAAAAGAAAAGAAAAGAAAGAAAGAATAATGGCCTTCAGTTCCATCCATGTTTCTGCAAAGGACATGATCTCATTACTTTTTATGGCTTCAGAGTATTGCATGGTATATATGTACATTTTCTTTATCCAGTTTATTATTGATGGGGATTTAGGTTGATTCCATATCTTTGCTATTGCGAATAGTGCTGCAATGAACATATGCATGTATGTGTGTTTGTAAACAGAACAATTTATATTCCTTGACTGACTTTAGAATCCAACCTGCTTAACCTGTGACACCACTGGCAATGTTGACCAATATTGGAACCTCATTTTGCCTTCAAATCACACACCCTGTTGGGGTAGAAGGAAGAAGAAAATTCAGCTCCCTATTCTCTGGTGTTTTCAGTTCCAGGCATGGATTTTACAAATCCCAAAAGAGGGTAATGATAACAACAAAAACAAACAAACAAACCAGGAAAGACAGAGAAGCTCTATTTGTTTTTGTCTACTCCCATTCCAAAATGGCACCCTGGCCAGGCCAGCTACAGAAAACCTGATGTAAACATCAGATACAATGAGAAGCAATAGTCTTCACTCTCAAAGACCATAGCTGCAAAATTCTTATGCTTCTCCCCACCCTCACCCACCCCTTTAACTGCCAAGGATTCAGGGAGGGCACAAGCACTGTGACCTCTTGGCATCCTTGGTCTGAGAAAGATGCAGATTCTTTCCCCAACTCTTCAACTTTTCACTGCCAACTGAACAGACACCTTTGGTTCAGCTCGCCTACCAACTATCTGTGAGCCACTCTCTAGCACGGTGCTGGAACATAGTAGATGCTTGATAAATATTTTTTGAACGAGTGAGCTATGGAGAGAAGAGCTGTGGAAGAAGCAAAAGTGGTTTTCATGGAGCATTCTATGCAACTTGGAGGGCTTTTCCCCCCACCTATGCTGAGAACCCAGCTCTGGAATCCTCAAGGGGACCATCTCGGGATCAGTACAGTCCATGCATGGCATGGCCATTAGTATTCTTATCTTAAGTGGCTTTGCAGACAATTGACTTCTGCAATGAGCCAGGGTAAGAGAAAAATACCATGGCTGTGTAGCAATTGCAGAGGACAGGCTGATTTCCAAGTTTATGTGTGATAACCCTTTGGGACTCCTTGACATGACTAACTCAGCATGTGTAAGGTGCTGAGAACCTGAGGCAGCATGAGAGACAGTTGATGAAATTTCTGGTATTATTACAATGAGTTCAATTTTGTGCTTAAAAATCTGTATTGAGAGCAAATTTTGTGCTAGATGCTATGCTAAGTAAATACATTATTTTATTTAATTCTCACAACAACCCAATTAGTTATCTCCCTTTACAAATGAGGTGACTAAGTCCTGAAGAGGTAACTTGCCTACGTGTGATGGTTAATTTTATGTGTCAATTTGACTGCTGTACTGGGTGCCCTAATATTTGGTTAAACATTATTCTAGGAATTTTGATGAGAGGGTTTCCAGATGAGATTAACATTTGAAACAGTAGACAAAGTAGAGGAGATGGTCTTTCCCAGTGTGAATGAACCTCATCCTATCCCTTGAAGGCCTAAGCAGAACAAAAAGGTGGAGTGAGAGAAAATTTACTCTCTGTGTCTTTAAGCTGGAATATTGATTGAGCATCTCCAGCCTCCGGACTCAGACTGTTACTATACCATCTGCTTTCCTGAGTCCTCAGTTTGGTGACTGCAGATCTCAGGATTTCTCAGCCTCTATAACCTTGTGAGCCAACTCTTTATGAAAGATAGACAGATAATAGATAGATGATAGATGGTAAATAGATAGATTAGATAAATAACAGAGAGACGGATAGATGGATGAATGGGTGGATGTATAGATGATATATAGATAGATAAATGGATGGATGGATGGTGGATGGATGGATAGATGGATGAATAGATGGATAGATAGATGGATAGAGATATATATCCTATTCGTTCTGTTTCTCTGAGAACCTAGACTAATACACTAAGCTCATGCAATTATATAATAGACACTACTGGCTGCTTGCCTACCAACAATTATGAGACATCACACTCCCCGCTGCTGGTAGGACTCATCCTCCACTCTGTAGATTTAAAATGTAAAATACTTCCCTTCCCAGCTTTCACTGCATTCAGGGCACAGATGTGCACCCCAAACCTTGCTGTGTGGATTTAAGGAGAGTTTGCTGGGGGCTATTGGGAAAGAGTTTCTTTCCTTAAAAAAAAAAAAAAAAATGCTGGGCGTGGTGGCTCATGCCTGTAATCCCAGCACTTTGGTAAGCCAAGATGGGCAGATCACGAGGTCAGGAGATCGAGACCCTCTTGGCCAACATGGTGAAACCCTGTCTCTACTAAAATACAGAAAATTAGCCAGGCCTGGTGGCACGTGCCTGTAGTGCCAGCTACTTGGGAGGCTGAGGCAGGGGAATTGCTTGAACCAAGGAGGCGGAGGTTGCAGTGAGCTGAGATGGTGCCGCTGCACTCCAGCCTGGTGACAGAGCAAGACTCCATCTCAAAAACAAAACAAAACAAAAGAGCCACACATGAGGAAATCCCTCCCTCTAACTTTGTGGAATATTGTGTCTGCTTTGTGTGGGAATCAGAAACTGCAGCAACATCTTGCAACTAAGAGGGAGAGATTGCCTTCATGCTTCAGAAAGCAGTGGCAGAAAGAAAGAAAACATTTACATTCAAATAATATTGTAGAGCTGCTGAATTAACCAATTCTGAAAGCACTCTGCCTCCAGACTTCTTACGTGAGATAACAGATAACCTTATTGTTTAAGTTCCTTCTATATAGAAATTTGTTTTCTGTTCCCAAAAGCATCCTAATTGTTCAGTTGATTTAATTTTCACTGTAAGAGCTCACATCAGTGGAAGTCTGTTTATCTAGTCAAAGGTATACTTATTATATAAGTTCACTTAATACTCTTTATTATTTACAAATATTCGAATGAAATGCTAAATATTTCTATTTACCTATGCCCATATCCATTCCTTCATCCTTCCATTCCTCCATCTGTCTGTCTATCTACCTATCTATCAGTGATCGAGTGACTGATTGGTCGATTGTTCTGTGGTCAAAAAATTTCAGGAAGTGGTTTCCTACTAATACATAACCCCTTCTGGAGAGCCTCTGAGAAGCTTCTACAGTAAAACAAACAAACAAAATCCAAAACAAAACATGAAAATTGAACTCAGCATTTTCCTGATATTTTGTTTGTTTAATCCCTTTTTTGGGCACACATTTTAATGGCAACCCATTTTTGGAAATGTGCATATGACTAGGTAACTATCTCCTAAGATTCCCACACACACATTTTAAGAGAGCAATTATTCCCTCTGAAGGCAACACTTGTTATTCTGAAGCACTGAAGCGAAGCCGCCAGTACACAGAAGCCACTTGGATGTTGCTTAGCAGATGTTTACAGATAGCTTGATGTTAATTTCTACACAAAAGATATATTTCTGGCCTTGCCTTATTGTTTATGATTCACGACTAAATTCTGGGAACCTTGAGTCTGGCCCATCATCCTGCCTGAGCTGACCATATTTGACACAGACAGTTTCCATTCATGGTGGCCACATGCCCTGTCTACACCATCCACACCCCAAGAGGTAATTCAGTGCTTGTGTTTTAACATAAACTTCAAGTCACATGCATACTAACACTACTTCATGAGCAAGAAATTACCACGTCTGGTTCATTGACATTTACTTCTGGGAACCATTTCAATCAGATTAATTCATTTATCTAAATAATCTTCCACTCACTTCACAACATCAAAACTCACCAATACATTTTCTGTTGATGCTTCCAACTTTCCTTTTTGTACAGTGAGAAGCAAGATTAATTTTTACCTGGAGTTCACAGACTGGGCACTTATTAGAGTATGAGGGAATGCAAATAATAACAACCTCTATCCCAACAGAACACAAGAAAAGGGAAAAAAGTAGGGCAGATGGAGATGCAAATGTCAATCTACTACTAATAGGGCTGCTGCAGAAAGTTGCTTAGATGTGCAGCAGCAACTGTAGGCTTTGTGTTAGGCAGGAGAGGTAGCTTATGCAGCAGTAACAAACAACCCAAGAGTCTTGTTGGCTAAAAACAAAAATTTAGTTCTCTATCACATTACAGATCCACTGTGGCCCAGCTGAGGATCTGTTCCATGGCACCTTAACTTGGAGTCACAGCAATTGGAACAGACTCTAACTGGAACATTTTCAATTATCATGGAGGAGAGGGAAACGTAAGTATGGTGAGCCCCACATTGACTCTCAGAGCTTCCACTTAGAAGTGACCCATCACTTCTGCTCAACTGTCATTGGCCACGTGTAAGCTCTCCTACCACAGACCCCCAATATTGAAACTCAAAGCTAATCAGATGTGTTCCCCTGCAACAGGCATCACTAGAAAAGCTACAGGCTTCCTCCCGAGCATGAGGGCAAAGGCTTTACTCCCACGTTTACCCTGTAGCCAAGAGCAGAGCCAAGCACATGCTCTCTACAGACAGGCAGACCCCAAAAGGAATGGATGAAGGAACTAAATTTCCCCACTCAGGTGAGAGGGCAGAGAGTCACCAGGCAAAAGCAGTCAAGCCACAGTAAGATTTTTGCAAAATGGGTTACTCCACTTATTCATTGTCTTCTTTTTTAAATTCTCCATTTCACCATTTCACTCTTGGCGTCTTTATTCTTCAACAAGTTCTATGCCTTCATCATTTACTTCTCCATTATCCTAGCCTTCTTCATTCTCCTCATCCAAAAAACCTGAACCCAACTCCACTGCTGGATGCCTGACCACGTGCACCAGCAGTCCCATATCTGAGCTCCAAACAGTAAATCTTTACATTTAGACCAGTCTGAGAAGGACTCTTCTGTGATTGCCACCATAGGCTTCCAATGGGAAACACTGAGGTCAGGGGTGAACGAAGAGAAAATGTGCAGCGCCCAGGATCAGCAGGTGATGGTTCAATGGGAGTTTCTCCCCATCAGCACTTTTGCTGATTCTGATCCCCTCTGAGGGCATGCCCTTTCCTTTTCCCTTTCCTTATCCAAATCCCAACTATTCTTCAAATGTCAAGCTCAGGTCCCACCTCCTATGGGGCACATTCACACCTCTGCAGCCAACCCATAGCCAAACCCTGACTACATCCCTGTGCTAACACTTGGAGCTCACACTGTTGTCTGACTTCATGTGTGATGATTTGACTCTACAAGTCACCTTGGAGGATGGGGACAATGCTTTATTTGCTTTCTGCCTCCCTGGCAGCACCCAGGCCAGCATTAGGCACAGAGCAGCCTCTTGACTGTTTCTGATGCATAGGCTGTGCAAGGTGGTTGGTGAGGTCTGCTCCCGTCACAGTGAATGGGGAAGTGACTGAGAATCCGCCTCTGTCACATAAACATTCGATGGTGCTGATAACTCGGCAAACTGTTTCTGTGCAGGTCCTGTATTGTAGTACTGCTGAGACCCTGAGTTCTAGAAAACATGTCACAGATGCTAAGGGGGTATTTCTCAGCTAAAATCTGCAAGAAAGTAAAGAAAACACAGTTTATTATAATTATTGTAGTATTCAGTTCTTCCAGGCTTCTGGGTTTCTTGTTTATTTGTATTAACTGCATGCCTTTAACCAAGGTAAAGAGATGGATTTTTGCCCTGTTTATTACCTAGTAGTTGTACTCAATTCTGGCTTGACGTCAATGACCTTTAGTGACATCCTGATGATAAACTACCTCTCTTGCCTAAGTTACTGGATGTGCCAATAGTAATAGTAATAGCTAAACTTGTAATGAGCCAGTTACTGTTCCACGCACTTTGCTATGAATCTCAATGTCCTAGAGTCACGGAGAGGTTGGGTTACCTGGCAAAGTTTACGGAGCCTGGAGGTGAATCAGAGTTTGAACCCCTGTACTCTGCCTCCAGAGGCCAGACCTTAAACCTCTACCAGGGATGTCCAATCTTTTGACTTCCCTGGACCACATTGGAAGAATAATTGTCTTGGGCCACACATAAAATACACTAACACTAGTGATAGCTGATGAGCTAAAAAAAAATCACACACACAAAAATCTCATAATGTTTTAAGAAATTTTATGAATTTGTGTTGGGCCTCATTCAAAGTTGGGCCACATGTTGAACAAGCTTTCTCCACATTAAAGAGCAGGTGAAGCAAGAATGGGAGAATTCGGGTCTTCTAAAACCAATCACACGGGGCATGACTTTTGCAGCCACACAGACCTGGGTTCAGATTCTTGCTTTACTGTCTTATTTCAGACAAGTCATTTAACCTTTCTATGCCTTAGCTCTTTCATCTATAAAAGGGGTTAAGGAAGATTAATACTATATAATGTGTCTGGCACGTAGATTCTTAATAAATGTTAAGCATGGATTTGTTCACCTGTTCCCTGGTCTTTTAAGGTCGGAATCATTAGATCATTGAAATTGCACACCATCTGCTCACTCTTTTCACTCAGTTCCATGACTAGCAAACACAGGACAAAGCAGGAAAAGTGTCAGATAGAGGAGAGTTTTTAGGCTGGCCAAGCAGTGAATAGACAATCAGGCACCTCTGTTCAACCTCTGCACTCATCAACCCTCGGGTTCCCCTAGGAGATACCAGATTCCACTGGTTTCAGCTTGGAGGACAGGCTTATGGCTGAGAAGAAACCCAGTTTCTTGGGCATTTATTGTTGCCCCCTCTTTAACTGCCTTCCTTCCCTTTTCCTCCTCTAGCCCTTAAGCAGATATTTCAAATTTATTAATAGGTCTCAAGTCCAATGACTGAGCTACAAACAGCAGAACAAACCTGTGTTTCTTCACAAGCCCATTAAAAAAACGTGACAGAGACCTGGCCTAGCTGCACAGAGGGGTGAGCTGGTTAATTTAGCTTTCACTTCCAAAAATATTCAAGGCAATTTAATAGCTTCATGCAAATAGCTGTGTCTGGATGTCAAATCATCCCTTCCTTGATATGAATCATGGTTTATTCTGTTATCCCTTTAGCAGGACAGCTGGGTGGTCAAGTGTGGACTGGAGGGAGTCTGCCTGGGTTTGAACCCCACACTTGCTGCATGACCTTGGGCAGGTCACTTACCCTCTGTAGTAGGCTAAATAATGGCCAAAGATAACAGGTCCTAATACCTGGAAGTGGTGAATGTTACTTTACACAGTTAGGTTTTTGTAGACATTGTTAAATTAAGGATTTTAGACAAAAGGGTTATCCTGACATATCTGGATGCCCTGAATGCCATCACATGTCCCTAAAAAAAGGAGAGGCAGGGTATCGGGCTCACTGCATCAGAAGGTGCAGTGATGACGGAAGCAGAGAGAGATCTGAGGATGCCACACTGTTAGCTTTGGAGATGGAGGAAGGGGCCACAGGCCAAAGAATGTAGCTCCAGAAGCTGGAAGAAGCACAGATTTCCCCCTAAACACTGGAGGGTACAGCCATGCCGACATCTCGATTTCAGTCCAGTGAAGCTCATGTTGGACTTCTGGCCTCCAGAACTGTGAGAGAACAAACTTGAATCGTTTTAAGCTACCAAGTGCATGGGAATTTGTTACGGTATCCCTAAGAAACTAGTACACCCTCTCTGAGTCATGCTTTCCATGATTCCAGATCAGATGGGAGCAAGAAGCTGATAGGGGTGGCCAGAGAGCGAGGTGGTGAAAAGCGAGATGGGGAGATACTGACCACGAACACCACAGCTGAGCAATTTCCTAGGGACACAGGGCAGACGTCCACAGATGCACTCCTTGACTGCAAGAGCCTGGGGTAACACTACACAAATCTCAGCCATATTTGTGACTTTGCAGTCAAAATCTCACTTTGCCACTGGGTGACCTGGAGCAGATTATTTAACCCTTCAAAGGATCAGTTGCCTGAGCTGCTAAATGTGTTAAATAAGCCATAGCAAGCACAAGGCTGGTTTCCTTATGGTCCCCTCAAGGAGCGAAGAAGCAGGAGGGGCTTCTCTTATCTTGCTCTCCACTCCCTTCCCTTTGAACACTGATGAGATAAGAAAGTTACGCAAAGTTGACTCCCATAGCTTCACTGCACACTACCACCGGGGCCCCTAACGTCAACTTGCAGATCAGGATGGGTCCTTGATGGAGTTCCTTTCGGCCATTCAACATCCATTAGGCACATATTTATTGAGCACCTACTAAGTGCCAGGCACTGGTCAAAGCACAGCCCCCGTGAAATTTTTTAAAGCAGAACAATGTAGTGCAGGGCCGCTGCCAGCTCTGAAAGCGTTTTGCAGATTAGAGAAGGTTGCCCTTGCAAACACAGCCCTGTCGGCACACGGCTTAGAAAGCAGGGAGACCTTTTGTGTAATGAAAAGCAAACTTCTTCATCTGAGTGGACACAGCCCGTGCAGGGGGCATGTCTTGGCAAGCAGAGTGAGAACTGCATTTGGGCCCTCTGTGCCCCTCATCCAGGTGTGCCAGTTGTGTGCGAGTTTCCAAACAGACAGCATCCCTGAAGTCATGCATTTTTCTTAAAGATAAATGGGTTCTGTTTAAGGGCTTCTCTTTAATCTGTAATTTCAGACTGTGAAAGTGTCTTTTCTTTCACAAAGTGAGGGTGAGAATAGATGGGAGTTGTTTGTTTTCTGTTTTGTTAAATGTCCTCACTTAGCAAAATAAAAAGTTGACAACTTTCTTCCAGTTCTTTATTTTGGACATTTTACTGGTCCATAAAATTCAACATTTGGGGAATGAATTACTGACTGATGGGAGGTGTGGCATGGTAAGAAGTCCTCTGTTCAAGCGAAGGAAAAGTCACCCAAACAACATAGACCTGGGCAGGTACCATCAGTGTCCCTGAGCTGCAGTGTTCACATGACGTGATCTTGCAGAACCTGCTGGGTTGCTATGGTTATCTCACCATGCCTATCCATTACCTTTGTGACACATGAGGTTCATACCACATAGATATTCAGAAAGATTTTTTTATGTGTCTCAGAAATGAACACGCTAGAAATAAATATCATTGTTTGAACGCAGCTGCATACACACATGAAAATATTTATGCACACAGGAGAATCATTACTTCTTGCATGCATTGGTGATTAGATGTACCTCATCTGAAGTTCACACAGCTGTGGAATGGGCAGACCTTGGCTCCAGAGACAAATCTAGATTCTCTCTCTTAGGCAGGATCCCGTCAGTTGACAGAAAAAGAGAACTGAGAACTGGTCTTGGTTAAAAAAAAAAAAAAGAAAAGAAAAATAAAAAAAAGATGGTGATGAGATGGGGAAAATGCATTGCCTCACATAATTGAGAAATGAGGTGTTTATTTCAGGTACAGCTTGATCCAGGGGTTCAGGGACAGACAGTATCAGGACCGGGGTTCCTCCCACCCCCATACACTCTGCCTTCCCTTGTACTTACTGACCACAGGCTCTTCCCTGGTGAGGGCCCCACCATGTGTTCAGTTGGCTGCCAAAGTTCAAACCTTGGATGGAGAGATCAACCTTCCCAACAGCTCACAAAGTTCTGTGCCTGTGTCTCATTGGCCCGAATTAGATCATATACTCATCACATGAGGGGGACGGTTAGTTCTTTGGAATAAAGTCATGGTGCATGGCCAGGGTCAGGGGATGCTGCCAGTCACACTGAATTTCACTTCAAAAAGGAGTGGGTCTAAGAAATTAGTCCCCAAATAGACATCTCCACGCAGCTCTGCCTCCTTTTGCATTCACCCCACCTCCTCCCTGATCTGTTCTCCACCTGCTCTGTGCTCCGAGATGCTGACCTCTGAGGACTGCAAGCCTCAGAGGACCAAGCCCCTTGCTGGCTGGCCCCTGACTGGGTCAGACAACGGGAGGCACCAGCAGGATATCTGAAGGAGGGAGGAGGAAGAGGTTGGGGTATTTCTTCCATGCATCCTCTTTGCCCTAGTGCCTCCCCAGAACCCACTCCCTCTGGGTGCTGGTCACACCACGTCTATCAGCCTTTGAGGGAGTAATAGGCTCCTTCTGCTTCTAGTCTCTAGACATCTCAGCATCCCGTGTTTGTTCCTTTGACCCTGACCAGGTATCTGTACGTTGTCCCTTAAGTCTTTTAATTTAAATCAGGAGTTAGCAAACTTTAGCCCACAAGCCAAATACCACCCTCCCAGTCTCCTTTTGCAAAGAAAGTTTTCCTGGAACAGAGCCACACACACTGTTTAGGTATGTCTAAACATACCTGCGACTGAAATTGTATGTGACCTGCAAAGCCAAAAATATTTACTATCTGGCCTTTTATGGAAAATATTTGCCAACCCCTGGGTAAACCACCTGATGGATTTGGTTTCCTGCTGGGACCCTGTCTATTACATCTCCTTATAAAATGTAAGGCGAGAACACAGCTTTTGCTGTAGGATTTTTATGTGAAGGTTGGGACGATACTAAAATGATCGGCCTAGCTATCCTGATGGCTCAAGGGAAAACCACACAGGGGAAAGACAAGTTTTTCTTTTTAAAAAATACAGTGAGCACTGCTCTCTCCTGTCCTTGGAGTTAAGGGGTCTCAGGGCAGAGAATGCACCCCACTGCTCCTGTTCCTGCCCCATGCTTGTATAGACAGCACATGTGAGTGCTCCGACTTCATCAGGGCATGCCAGTGAACAGGAAAATCAATATGTAAAAAAAACAAACCAAAATGCTGGATGAAAAAGATGAACATTGCTAGGTTTAGGAAATAAAAATGTTCTAAACAGATAAACAGTAAGCAAAGTGCTTTGATTTGTACTGTTTTCCAGCCCATAAAACCCTAATATCCGGCGACGTTTCATTAAAAGCTTCCATGCCACTCGGCATGCCTGCTGTGGCTTGAATAGATGGCTGCAAAAATGTTATCCGAGCTGCAGACCCAATCTTTTGCAATGTTTTACATGGGTGCTAAATGGGGGAGAAGTCTGATCAATCACAAACAGAACACCAGTTTAGGGGAGAAGTAAATGTTGGCGTTAAATGAACAATATCTATCATTCTGCAATGTGGTTCTTCCAGTCAATCAAAAAATAAATAAATAAAAAAGGTAGGCAAAGAGCATTTATTGGAGTGAAGAAAAAAAAAGAGTAATGAACACATGCAACCAGATCTTTCAGCTTTCAGAAACAGAGAGGGCTTGTGTATTGAATAATACATAGTGAAATAAATGTTCAAATTATGTTGGAAAACGGTTCATTTGGACTCCTAGCCCTTCCAATCTCTAACCCGAATAATACTCCAGTTTATGAAATCCCTTCCTAATATATCAAAGGCTCTTCACCTATTGTTGCATTCATTCCCTCAGTGGCCCCTACTGGAAGCTTGCTGAATGACCAGTCAGACCGGAATTCACTGTGCAGGACTCTTTTCTTTAATGACCTCCATTCCTGTGGCTGCAAAGAGGAGGAAAAAGCCCTGGTCGGGAAATCAGCACCCTGAAGTGGATTCTGAGCTTTGAAGCTGAGAGGCCTTGAACAAATGATTAAATCACTCTCTGAAGCTCAGTTTCTTTATCTGTAAATTGGGACCAACACCTCTCGCCTGCCCCCACCCCAGATTCTGGTAAAGTCATTCATTCACATTTGATGAATATTTACTAAGTACATTTTATGTGTCAGGAGGGTGCTGAGTGAGAAGGAAGAGGCAGTCCCTGCCTTCTGGAAGCTCAAATGTAGAGGAGAATGGTCAGTGAAAATATGATGTCATAAGCCCCAGGAGAGCGTCAGAGACAGTTCCTGAAGACACTGGGAAGGACCTGCGGACCAGGAAGAATTGTGGGAGGAAGGGGTCTCTAAATGGATTCTGAAGAATAAGTCAGTGGGTAGGAGTACAAAGGAGGATATTATCACCACAGGGAAGAGGACAGAGAATGTGACCCTTCAGAGGAGGTACTGGAAGCATTTTTGCACGGCCGAGTCACAAGATTCAAGGTAGGGCGAGATTCAGGGCAAGAGCCCTGAAAACAAAGGAGAGCTAAGTACCCAGATATCAAGGGCCTCCAGGTTCTGTTAAAGAGTTTGGACTTCTACCTGAGGACAGTGGGGAGCCCACTGAAGGGTACCTGTTGGGATGATGGCCTGCCTCCATATGTTTTAGGCCACCCCCACCAGCCCACCCCAATAACTTCCAGGTGGAGGAGTTACAGAGGGCAGACTGGAGGCTTGGGATCCAGTGAAAGATGTCAGTGGCTTGAAGGAGAGAAGAGGCGGAGGTAAGAGGTGGCATTACAGGAGGACTCCATCCATTGCGGAGAAAAGGGAGAGGAAGGCATCACCAAGGAAACTAGGTTCTGGCTTAGCTGAAAGGGCAGATGCTGATTCTATTCACTGAGAGGGCGCATGCCTGAAGGTGGTGCCTGGTGCAAGGCAAGGTACACAGTAGGTGCTTAGTAAGTGTTTGTTGACTCAAAGCAGAATCTTTATTCTCCCAGCTTCATTCTCCTCCTACCCCTGTTAACATCGCACCCCCCCCAACCCCGCCTCGGCTCCACCCCCACCTCATCCTGCACATCACTGCCTGGTAAATCTTCTTAAAACACCAATTTGTCTGTCAGATTTAAATGGTTCATTTAAATGGCTCAGGATTTCCCCAGACACCACTCAAAGCCCCTCTGCTCAGCACCCCCCACACCCAGCCAGCCTTGCTTCTGCTCTGCTTCAGTCAGGCCTTCGGGACATCGGCCACGTGACCTGCTCCCCTCAGGGCCTCTGCTGGGGCAGTGCTTCCCTCCAGGAGCACCCCCCTTCCTTTCATTCTGCCACCGCAAATTTGAATCAGAGAATCACAGTGGAGACCAGGGAAAAAAAGAAAAAAAAGTCAATTCCCTCTGGATTCCTGTTGCTTCTGCTAATTCAAGGCAGGCTTAATTCTTTGACATCCAGGCAACTCATCGGGTCTGTGGCTGAGGAAGCTGCAAGAGAGGAGAAATAGGAGGTAAATTTATCTAGATTAGAGATAAATTGACAAACGAGCTATGTCTTAATATATCCTTCTAGCATATCCCAGACTCTTGGAGTCCTTTTGATTTTGAAACATGTTTTTAAAGCATGAGTGGATTATGATTGTCAGAAAAAAAGCAGTTTCTTCCAGGCCTTAAGCTATAAAAACTGCTATTCCTGTTCTCTCTGCAAATGAGCCCACTTTAGTATGCCCTGCTGGGAAATGAAGGCAATTGCTTTATTCCTGGGAATTACCAAAGATTTACTTGAAAGTGCTACCTCACACGCAGTGGGTAATAAGTCTAAATGAAAAGGAAAACAATTAGCCCAAATATGCCAACCTCAACAGTGTTGGTTGGTTGGTTGATTTTGAAAGCTCAATTTTATTTCTAGAATCAAAAATTGCAAAAACAAACAACAAACTACAAAACCCCCAGTGGTTAAAGTCCTTGAATGAGAAGTCCCTAGGAAGAACACAGATGGGGTTCCTTTCAGGGCCACCTACCTTTGTGCTTGAGCCCACCCAGGACCCTGGGAAAGGTGCCCATTTGGACAAATTGGGCCCCCAAATTGCAATCCATCAGGCCAAGAAAGCTACAGAGCCACCAAAAATAACAAATAGATCCATGTTCTCTTGTCTGTCCTGCATACTTCCCATTGCAAATGACAGGCCTCCAGCCTCAAGCCGGCTTCACCGTCCATCCAACCACCAGGGCAGTGTTTCTCAAGGTATGATCTAAGAACCACGTGCACCTGCATTAGTATCAACTGAACTCCTTATTAAACACACAGATGCATGACACCCATTCCACACTTTCCAAGTCCAAATCTCTGGAGGTAGTTCTTCTTTTTTTTTTTTTTTTTGAGATGGAGTTTTGCTCTTGTTGCCCAGGCTGGAGTGCAATGGTGCGATCTCGGCTCACCGCAACCTCTGCCTCCGGGTTTAAGCAATTCTCCTGCCTCAGCCTCCCAAGTAGCTGGGATTACAGGCATGTGCCACCACACCCAGCTAATTTTGTATTTTTAGTAGAGACGGGGTTTCTCCATGTTGGTCAGGCTGGTCTCGAGCTCCCGACCTCAGGTTATCCGCCCACCTCTGCCCCCCAAAGTGCTGGGATTACAGGCGTGAGCCAACATGCCCCACCCAGCTGGAGGTAGTTCTATTCTTCAACATCATCAGGGTAGCCACACTAACAACACCTCTTTTTCCTCTTAGTCCATGGGCATTTTCCTTCAATTGTTCTCAACATATCCAGCTTAAGGTCCGTGGTCCATTGTTTCAATAACAAATCTTGCTAATATTGTAAACTTCCTTGCAATTCTACTGTGTTCCTCCAGTAAACACACTCCCCATCCCCCTCAATAACTTTGTCAAATCTCTTCAAACTCCAATTTTCTAATTGCCGATCCCCCACCCTTCTTGCATTTGACCTCACTTCTAATTATCGGAGATTTAGAGATGTCTCTAAGATGTCTCTCCTCTTTCAGACACCAACACATGTACCCCTGTCTCCATGGGCCCCTTCCTTCACCTTGACTCAGGATCCCACCCCAACTCCTTCTCGGAACCTTACACTATCAACATGCCTCCTGCTTTTCGGGTGTTCATCCACCTCCTTTCAATCAATCCTTCCCCTTGGCTCTTTTTGGCTTCGTAGAGTATCATTAGTGACAATTAGTGTGAGTATTCTCTCCAATATCCCAGGAGGAGAATCATTACATCAATGAACACATACTATATACCTGGCTACCACAAGTGAATGTTAACCTGATTGTTACCTTTAAATCCTTTTTTAATAATAATGATAATAATAATAATAATAATAATAATAATAATAATAATGTGTTTCAATATAGTTTTAAAAACTTATAAAAAATTTTAAACTTTTTCTTATAAATTATAAAAATTTTCAAATACATTCAAAAACAGAGAAACTAGTATAATGAACTCCTACTTACCCATCAGCAAGCCTCAACAATTGTCACCATTTTATCAATGTATATATTTTATTTATTTTATTTTATTCTGGAGACAGAGTTTTTGCTGTGTTGCACAGGCGGGAGTGCAGTGGCACAATCTTGGCTCACTGCAAACTCTGTCTCCCAGGCTCTAAGATTCTCCTGCCTCAGCCTCCCAAGAAGCTGGGATTACAGGCATGCACCACCATACCCAGCTAATTTTTGTATTTTTAGTAGAGATGGGATTTCCCACATTGGCCAGGCTGGTCTTGAACTCCTGACCTCAGGTGATGCACCTGCCTCCACCTCCCAAAGTGCTGGGATTACAGGCTTAAGCCACTGCACCTGGCCATATTTTAAAGAAAATTCCGTGTATTGGGCCATCACATTATGCGTCTCTAATTGATAAGGGCCAATTTTATAAAACATAACCTCCAGGCCGTTATCACAGCTAAATAACTGTGATTCCTTAATATCACCTAATTCTCAGTCCATATTTTATTTTCCCAATTGTCTCCAGGATGTCTTTTTATAGTTGGGTTGTTCAAATCAAGATCCAGACAAGGTTCTCATACTGTATCTCATTGTTTTGTCTCTTAAGTTGTTTTTGTCCTCTAATAGTCTCCCTGCCTTTATATTTTTTAAATGCCATTGATTTCTTGGGCCATTTGTTACATAGAGTGTCCCACACTCTTGACTTAGCTGATCACATTGTTAAAGTGCTGATAACTTGTGTCTCTATCTCCCATATTCCCCCATATTTGTCTTTTTTTTTTTTTTTAAATCAAGAGTACTTCATAGGCAGTACTTTTAAACATACTTACATGATGGAGACCACTTTCAGAAAATCTGTCCCTCATCCTCACATCCTCTTCCAGCTACCAACTTTCCTCCTCCCCATCCATAGCTGAAGGAGTCTCCAGAAAGCCACCACGTTTGCTTTCTTAATTTCTTCAGCTTTCACCCTCTCTTCAACCCAGTCAGATCTGGCTTCTGCTCCTGTCACACCCAGAAACAGTAATGACCTCCATTCTTTCAAATCAAACAGATATTTATTTGATCAATTCCCATCTTATTCCAGTTATAGAATTCAATAGCTTAAGGCGGGAATTTATCTGTATCTCTCATAGTTCCATGGATTGACTGGAATCAGCTGAGCAGTTCTCACTTGGGGCCTCTTAAGGAGCTGGCGTCATCTGAAGGCTTCACATCCTAGATGGCTTCTTTCTTCACATGGCTGCTATCCAGGTTGGATCTCAGGAACAACTGGGGACTGGGATCTCTCCCTCTCTCTCCTTCCCCTTCCATAGAGTACCTTCACGTGGTAGTTTGGGCTTCCTCACAGCATGGGGGTTTATGGGTAAAGAGACCTCTTACATGGGGGCTGGCGTCTCACTGAGAAAGTATTTCAAGAGACCAAGATGGATGTTGCAAGGATTTCTGTGACCTTGATAGTCGCGTAGCATCCCCTCTGCTTCAGTCTAGTGATTGAACGGGCCCCACCCCCATTCATTCAGTGTTGGGGGCACTACACGAAGATATGAATTTCAGGAAGCATACTTCCCTGGGGCCATCTTTGGAGACTATCACACTTCTCCTTTGACTCTTCAACAATTATCAGCACCTCAGTAAATTTTCTGATTTTTGAAATACTCTGACCGCTTGCTCCCATAACAAGCCACTTTTCTGTTCCCTTTCTACCTCTCTGACAAAAACCTCTCAGTGGTCTTTGCAGGCCCCATCTACCTCTGCCCAGTCCTCCAGGCCTGGTCCTAGGTTTCTTCTCTTCCAAGCCTCTTCTCTCCCAAGCCTCTTCTCTCCCAAAGCCCTTTCACATGGAGGTCCATGATTTCAATTAATTCCTAAAATGGGCATGACTAAAGTATTATTCACTCCAACCCAAATCTGTCCTCTGAGTATCATATCCCACCTTCTAGAAACTGAGTATCATATCCCACCTTCTAGAAACCTCTTCTTGAATATTACAAAGGTATATTAACATGTTCAACTAAACTCAGAATCAACCCCTGCCCCAAAATAAGCCCCTTCCACATTTCTTCATTTCACCTAATGGCACCTTCACTGCCTCCAGTTACACAGAAACTTGAGGGTCATCTCTCTCTCTCTCTCTCTCTCTGATTGAATCTATTCATTCTATCACCAAAATATTACTTCTAAAATGTTTCTGCCACTCTTCCCCACCTCCACTGCCATCACCCTCTATCCAGGCCACCCTCTGGGGCTATCCCTAGAAGAAAATGGGACCCATAGCAACTCAAGTCAGTGCAGAGTTTATCCAAAGTACTGACCCTTAAAAGGGAGCCACTCTGTACTGGCACTGGCATCTTTTATTGGCTCCAGAAGATACTGTTAAAAACTGACACTCAAAATTGAATTTTAATGATGGTTCATTAAAAAGATATTCATTTTGCAGCCTCTCACCTCAAGTGTGGGGCCCAAGGCAGATACTCCATATTCTCTTCCTGAAGGAAAGGTCTGCTAACAGGTCTCCCTTCATCCACTCTTGCCCCCTAGAACCTGCTCTCCACACAGCGGCATGAGTGCAAATGTGAATTATGTCCTCTGTTTAAAACTCTCTCATGACTTTTCATTGGTTTTGGGGTAAAAGCAAAACAACAACAACAACAACAACAACAACAAAAAAAAAAAAAAAAAAAAAACCCTTAGCATAGCTTACAATATACATAGGAAACTGTATTAGTCCGTTTTCATACTGCTGATAAAGACATACCCAAGACTGGGTAACTTATAAGGAAAAAGAGGTTTAATGGGCTTACAGTTCCACATGGCTGGGGAGGCCTCACAATCATGGTGGAAGGCGAAAGGCACATCTCACATGGCAGCAGGCAAGAGAGAGAATGAGAGCCAAGCAAAAGGGGTTTCCCCTTATAAAACTATCAGATCTCGTGAGACTCACTCACTACCACAAGAACAGTATGGGAGAAACGGTTCCCGTGATTCAATTATCTCCCACCCGGTCCCTCCCACAACATGTGGGAATTATGGGAGCTACAATTCAAGATGAGATTTGGGTGAGGACACAGCCAAACCATATCAGGAACACAGTCTATCCTCTTACAGCATTTTGACGCAAGTAACAGGAACTCAAACTCAATCTTGCTTGAACAATAAGGAATTCTAATATCTCATAGAACAGAAGTCCTGAGGTAGGGTGGCCTTTAGGGCAGATTGATTCAGCAACCCAACCTTTATCAGGGAGAAAGATTCTTTCCACATCGCTATTCTGCCATCCTCAGTGCTGGCTTCTTCCTGAGAGGGGAAGATAGCTGCAGCAGGCCCAGGCTTCACATCCAGATTTCACAACACTCAGGGGAACACATGGGGCCATCTTTTCTTGTGGCTTGTTCTTGAGAGTGAGGAAGCTGTTTTTGGAAGTCCCCTGTGAAACTTTCCTTAATTGCTCTTTTGCCAGAATTGGGGCCCACCCTTATAACTAAACCAATTACTGCGTGATATGGTTTGGCTGTGTCCCCACCCAAATCTTATCTTGAATTATAGCTCTCACAATTCCCACACGTCGTGGCAAGGACCTGGTGTGAGGTAATTGAATCATGAGGGTGGGTCTTTCCCATGCTGTTCTCATGATAGTGAATAAATCTCATGAGATCCGATGGTTTTATAAAAGTGAGTTCCCCTGCACAAGCTCTTCTCTTGCCTGCCACCATGTAAGATGTCCCTTCCTCTTCCACCATGATTGTGAGGCCTCCTCAGCCACGTGAAACTGTGAGTCCATTAAACCTCTTTTTCTTTATAAATTACCCAGACCCAGGTATGTCTTTATCAGCAGGTGAAAATGGACTAATAAACTGGGAGAGGGATTACTACCTGGAACTGAGAGTGAAGTTAGCATCCCCTGATGCAGAAAGCTGTGTTAGTGGATGTATGGATTCCTGAACAAAAGAGGGATTCTGTTGGAAGGAAGAAGGGTGTAGGCACTGCTAGGGAGGCATGTCTAGTGACCCCCACCTTATACCTCTCCAGGTGATCTCACTCCTGCTTCTCTGGACTCTCTCCACTGCAGCTGCAGCAGTCTTCACATCCTTGTCTGCACCTGCTTTCTTCTATCACAGTCCTTGCACACACTCGCCCTGCCCGAGGAATGCTTTCTCCTAGGGAAATCCAATTCATCCATCTGTCTGGGAGGAAATTTAATCTCTCTTTAACCCTCATAAATTCGTACTTGGGACAGACTCCTGTTAGCAACAGATTAACAAGGGAAAAACAAGCAAGTTTATTAACATGTGCAGTGCACATCACATGGGAGAAACTTCAATAAAAGGTGTCAACCTAACGTAACCACAAGGCTCAGGATCCAGTTCAAATGAATTGATTTAAGTAAAAAGTGTGAGGGTGGCCATCCCAGGACACATGGACAGCAAAGAATAGTGACTGCTGTTCTCGGTGTAGGGAAAAGTGAAGATCATTTATACCGACAAAACTGGAGGCGCTGAACAGAATTACAACATTTTCCATCCAAAGGCTAACACAGAGATATAAGATTGACTGGCTACTCTTAATTACATTTTAAGGAGTTTGCTTAATATTCTGTTGAGAAGAGGTAACAGTCACAAGGGTCTCTGTCATTTAGTCTAGGTTTGAATGAAGAACAGAAAACCTAGTAAAATATAACTCTCAACACAAAAGTCAGGAAGAAACAGCCATGCATCAGAGAAGAAAAACAAGCATGTTATATGACTCCGTTTTCAAGGCTTAACTTTTCCCTTTGGCATAATCAATTTTGAAGGTCCTGAAATTTTCTGTTCGCAAAGGTAACTCCAAGCAGTGGCTTCGAACTCTGGCTTATATGGTATCTTCAACAAAGAACAATAAATTTTAGAGAAGTGACAAGACAAAGGAAAGCAGTTGTAGGTTTCCAGAGGTGGGAAACTGTGGGAAGGCAAATATATGGGAGTAAAGTCATTGAGTAAGGTTTGTTTGCAGATTACTCCTGTGCCATATCTGAGTGAACAACAGCTGTTCCCAGTAAAGAAGAATTTATATCCTGTCTTTGGAAGAAAAAGCAGGGGAGGATAGAAAGAGCTTTCCCTCTGTTTGCTGCTTCTTAATTGCCTTTTGCTCAAAAATATTTATGTCAAAGAAGCATCTTTTGGGATGACATATTCTACTTTCTTTCACTTCCAATCTCAGCTAAATGCCTTCCCCTGGGGAAATCCAACTCATCCTTTTGTCTGGGAGGAAAAGCTGCTGGAATAAAAGCAGGCAGAAGAACATGGAAGGACTAGACTTGCTGAGTCTCCTGGCCTTCATCTTTTTCCTGTGCTGGATGCTTTCTGCCCTTGAACACCAAACTCCAAGTTCTGTAGCATTTGGACTCTTGGACCTACACCAGTGGTTTGCCAGGGGCTCTCAGGCCTTCAGTCACTGACTGAAGGCTACACTGTAGGCTTCCCTACTTTTGAGGTTTGGGGACTCAGACTGGCTTCCTTGCTCCTCAGCTTGAAGATGGCCTATTGTGGGACTTCACCTTGTGATCGTGTGAGTCAATACTCCTTAATAAACTCCCTTTCATGTATACATCTATCTTATTAGTTCTGTCCCTCCAGAGAACCGTGACTAATACATCATTCTCCACCCCTCCCTGTGTTCACATTGTTTGCCCCATAAGTCCACTCTGTCACTGGCACATGGCTTGCTTTGGCCAACAGGATGTGAGCAGATGTGACACAGCAGATCTTTACAAAAGCACTTGCACTTTTCTGCTTAGGCCTTGCTGGCTGAGTGGCCATAAGCACATGCCTGGGCTAGCCTCCTGGAGTATAACTCCCCTGGGACAGCCAAATTGTCCTAGTTATCCCAGCTGTGGCCATCCTAGCAAAGCCAATAGCCAACCAGTCCCAAGCTTGTAAGTGAGCACAGTCAAAACAAGGAAGACTGCCCAGCCAACAGCAGCTGACTGCAGAGGCATGAGCGAGCCCAGCCCAGCAGAGATAAGCTAAGCTGAGCCCAGGTCAGCTAAGACCCTGCACACTTGTAAACAACACAGTTTATTCTTGCACGCCAATGAAATTATTGAGGTTGCTCATTACAAAGGATTAGTATGTCAATGGATATCTGGTAATAAATGCGGTTTAAACATCCAGCAATTGAGGAATGCTGCAATACCTTGCAGCAATTAAGAAAGCTGGTATAAAGACTATACTTTCAGGGATCATTTCTATAGTTCATTACTAAAGAAGTCTATCTGAACATGTAGAACACATGACACCATAAGGAGGAGGCACAACATTCTCCCTAGAGCCTGAAGCTGGCTCTTGGTGTTTCATGACTACAGCAGCCATTTGCCACTGATGACTGTTCTCTTCCAGGAGAATAAGAAGGAGAAGATGCAGTTTGGGTTGTTTAAAAAAAAGAATTCTGATGCAGATGTATATTGACTTGAAATGTTCACAACAGACTGATAAATTGTAGGCGGAATGGGAATGGGAAGCAGGTTGCAAAACAATGTATGTAATATGATACCATTTTCATAAAACATATATTTACACATTTGCATATGAATGAGTCAGGTCTGATACACAAGATGCTGAAAGTGGTTATTTCCAAATGGTAGGATTTGGGGTGATTTTCATTTGTTGTTTATCTGTGTTTTAGAGTTATTCTATAGGAACATGTGTCATTTGTACAATTTTCAAAGGGGAGAAAAAAATCTTTTCCATAGAGTACAGCATTAAAAAATTTTGAAATCCTTTAGCTTATCCATAACAACCCTGAGTGTGTTTCAAGTACTTTTTGTGGAAAAAGTCATTGTCCGCTCTTGCAGCATCCTGTCCAGGAGACTTGGTAACACTGGCTTGTCCAGGATTCACTAAGGGATTGCAGGTAGCAGAACCTGCCTGTCTGATCCCACTGGTAACCCTGAGCTCTGTGGTTGGCAGTGGCTTCATCTTTCCAGCCCACACAGAGACAGCGAAGCCTAAAAGCTCCTCTACCTTGGAGGAGGCAAGGGTTGGGGTCACTGCGGTTCCCTACTATCCTAACAGCAGAGTAGAGCCTTCCCAGTAACTTCTTGCCCACAGAGGTTAGTTATGACCTTTAGGAAAACAAAAGAGACCTTTTAAAATTTCCTACTAACAGGAAGCCAAATTTCATACATTCAGAGTAAGAAATTCAATGCCCCAAGGCAGGACAAGGATAGCTACCACCTTAATCCTTCTAAAGGATAAAAGGACTTCCTGCCGGCCTGCCTGCCTGCATTTCCTCCTTCCTTGCTCTATTTTTCTCTTTCTTTTTCTCTCTCTCTCATTCTTCCTCTTTTCTTCCTTTCTTATCCCATTTGCAGTTAGGCTTTTACCTAAAACAAATCCTAGTTTAAAGCAAGTAGATCCGTCCCTTTACTGTCCTTACCAGTTCTCAATTTGCAATAAATCCCAAATACTTTTTTTTTTTTTCTGCCATTACTGGTGCTGTTGCTAAAACCCTCCTCAGAGAGCTGGTGAAAATTACCCATCAGGCTGATGGGGTCTCATGGAATCATATAATCCGATCCCAGCTTGTCCCTAAAACACTCACTTCTTTCCATCATTCCTACTTCCTTATCCTTTTGCCGAATTCGAATAGATCTTAATCTTTTCAGCACTTTTATGCCCCAGCACTCCTGTCCTACCGTCCTCACATTCTGTGGAGACATTGACTCAGAACATGCCCAACTGCCCTTGCATCTCCCTCTAAATGGCTCCCTGCTGTTTGTTTCCAGTGTATCACCCTCCTCACCTCCCATCTCCCGCCAAGCTCTCGACCCCAACACAACTGGTTTTCCCTAGGACAGTGATTATTTTGGTTCAGATCCAGAGGATCATGAGGAGTCCATGAGGCCCTGAAGGTGATCCACAAATCTTCAGAAAGCAAAGCAGAATCTTTATGTCAATTTTTAGGTGTGAGTCCCTAGCTTTCTTTTAATTTCCAAAGGGCTGTATAGATCTAGACAGTGCTTTATCAGTTACCCTCTCTTTCTTGAATTTTTAGGCTCCCTCCCTTTCAACTGGTATCCCCTTCTCCATCTACACATAACCTGGGTGTACCAGGGCCATGGACAACTACGAAATATAATTACCAGGTGTATTGGTCTGCTCTGTTTGGCATAACAAAATATCATAGGCAGGGTAGCTTAAACAACAGAAACGTATTTTCTCACAGTTCTGGAGGCTGGAAGTTTGAGATTAAGGTGCCAGCATGGTTGGCTTTTGGTGAGGGTTCTCTTCCTGGTTTGCAGATAGCCATTTTCTCACATTTTCCTCACATGCTCTCATGACCTTTCCTTGGTGCGTGCATTCAAGGGGCCTCTCTCTTCCTCTTCTAAGGACACTAGTCCTATTAGACTACAGCCCCATCTGTATCCCTTATGACTTCAATTAACTTTTTTGTTTTTTGTTTTTTTGAGACAGGGTCTTGCTCTGTCACTCAGGCTGCGGTGCAGTGGCATGCTCATGGCTCACTGCAGCCTCAACCTCCCAGGCTCAAGCAATCCTCCCACCTCAGCCCTGTGATTAGCTGGGACCACAGGTGTGTATCACCATGCCTGGCTAATTTTTTGTATTTTTTTTTGTGGAAACAGGGTTTCTCCATGTTGCCCAGGCTGGTCTCCAACTCCTGGGCTCAAGTGATTCTCCCGCCTCAGCCTCCCAAAGTGCTGGGATTACAGACATGAGCTGTCGCGCCTGCCCATTTAACCTTAATTACTTCCTAAAGATTCTGTCCCCAAATACACTCACATAGGGCAGAGAAAAGGGAGTGTTACCACTTCAACATATGAAACTTGGGGCGACACAATTCAGTCAATAGCACCAGAAATAAAAATAACTTGCTTTAAGATATCAAAGTTGCTATCTTTGTTACACTGACAATAGATTCCTAACTTATCTTTTTTCTCTGGCTGCTTTTAAGATCTTCTCTTTATCACTGGTTTTAAGCAATTTGATTATGAGATGTCTTAGTGGAGTATTCTTCATGTTTCTTGAACTTGGAGTTTATTGAGCTTCTTGGATCTGCAGATTATAATTTTCATAAAGTTTGGAGATTTTTTCACATCATTTTTTCAAATATGTATATTTTTTGCTTCCCATTCACAGACTTGAATTATATATATAATTCCAAGTGGCACATCCCACTTCCTGGGTTCAGTGGGATAGTCCTACCTCCCTGGAGACCCTACCAACCAACACATCTTCAGCCCCTCCCTCCTGAAGTGGCCACAGCAGCTCAAGGAAGACAGAAATTTAAGTTTGTCCCAGAGATAACTAATGCTCTTTAATTTTTAAAATTCGTTCTTGTCTGAGTCTTTTACTTAGGCCAGTTTCTATTGCTATGCCTCCAAGTTCATTAATATTTTCTTCTCATTGTAAAGACTGGGGGACCTCTTTCTTAAGTGATCTTTGTCTTAAGATTTGGTGCAATATATCAGTAGACCTAACAGAATGAATATCTAACAAAAGAAAGTTGAAAACTAAATGACTGTTACCTTTCTCTTTGAAATACTGTAGGAATGAAAGTTAGATATACTTTGTGACTTCCACGAGACACTGACCATCACACAGGCTGTGATTTTTATCAGTGCAAGACGCAAGGTGAGCAGGCTCACTGAGAAAACGCACACCAGGGACTTCACAGTTCCTGCTCTGCATGATGATATGGACTAGAAGGAAAAAGATGTTAGCATGAGGGATTTCTGATCAGGGTCAAGCTGTGTTCTGATCACTAATGACTTGTCGGCTTGTGGGATGGAGGAGCAATGAGTGTCTTTGGTTACAAACTGTGATCTACCTACCAATTGTGAAAACTATATTCACAGGAGTCGACAGCAGCAGTTGATGGCAAGATGGTACTCAGAAATGGCATTGATGTAATTTAGGACGTGGAATCATAAGTGAGACAGCACACAATTAGAACAAAGAATTGGCAGAGGGGGTCGACTTGGGAAGAAAGGTGTGGATATAAACTGTTACTGAAGAAGACAAATAGATTGTTCATGACACTGAGACTTTCTACGATACCATAGCGGAAGAGATGCCCATGCATGTGGCTGACCTTATTTCATTCCGAAGTGAGATAGTTTTGGATGCAGTGCTCGTTGTTGCTGAATAAGTGACCACAATGTGCATTGTGCTTCTTTCTTTGGAAATATTTGAATCTTGTCTCAATGCTTAAAATCGATCAGAGATACAGATTTTGATAGCAAAGTGACATTAGTCATGAGCCCTTGTGAAGATAGTCATTATTTTTTTATCTTCTTTAGAGTTAGACTGAGGGGGTGGGTATAAAAGATGGGGTCTATAACATCTTTCTTTCTTAGAAATGTATTTCCTAGTCCCATGGAAATGGTTGCATTAGATGTTCTCTATCATTTAATAATATACTTGTGGACTAAAAGATAAAAGTGCTGTATGAAATAAGCCAATTATGTTAAACTAGCACATCTGCCTTTACTGCGTTTATCATTAGTCTGAATAGAAAGACCTTTAAAATTAATTTTTTAGAAAGCATTTGAATGCATTCTTTGCTATTGTATTTATTCAATAAAGTATTTAATTAGTAAAAAGATATTGTCTTCTGCAATATCTAACCTTCTGTTAATCTTATATGGTGTATTTTTCATCCCAGATTTCAAAGTTTTGCTATCTAGGCTTTCAATTTGTGTCTTTTTTGTATTTTCTCTGGCTCTTCTGAACTTTTAAAACATTTAACACAATTACAATAATTGTTTTAATGTTCCTCTCTGTTAAGTCTAATATCTGTGTCAGTTCTGGGTCAGTTTTTACAGACCGATTATTCTCCTCGCTGTGTTTTCCTGCCTTGCTGTGTCTTTGATTGGATAATGCAAATTGTGAATTTCACCTTGTTGGGTGCCAAATTTTTTTTTTTTTTAATTCTTGTATGTTTTCTTGAGCTTTTCAGGTCTTGCCTTTGTGCTTTGAGAGGCACTTTCTGGAGCAGTGCTCAGTCTAGGGTTAATTATTCCCCACCACTGAGGCAAGACCTTACTAAGTACCCAGTGCCCCATGAATGATGAGTTTTTCCAGTCTGACTGATGGGAACAGGTACCATGCCTGGCACCCACTGTTCCTTCTAATCCTTTCAGATGGCTCAGTCCTCAGCCTACACGCATGCACTGTTCACCACTTTGCTGAATGGCCAAGGGGATCCTCTGTGGAGCTTTGGGATTCTCTCTCTGTGCAGCCATCTTCTCTCCAGTACTCTCTCTTTAGAACCACGGCTGACTTGGTCTCTCTGGACACTCACTTCTGTCTTTTCAACTTCAGGAGTCTGCCAGGATCCATCTTAGTTCTCCCTCTCTGCACAGTGACCTGGCAACTCTGCCAAGGTAATTCTGGGGTAATCCTGGGACTCACCTAGTTTGTTTCCAATGTTGTTCATTGCCTGGTGTCCAGTGTCTTGAAAACTGTTGCTTCATATATTTTGTTTGTTTGTTTCAAATGGGAGGATAAATCCAGTCCCTCCTTCACTCCATCTTGACCAGAAGCAGAAGTTGGTAGCTATTGTTATTTTATCATTCATTCAAGATATTTTAGGGGCACCTACTATGAGCCAGGCACTATACTAGGTTGAGTATACAGTGGTGAGCCAAAAGAATATGGTCCTGGTCTCACAGCAAATCTGTCTTATGGCGATCAACTTCTGCCAGAAGGCAGTAAATATGGTAGGCCCTGGATTTACGAACATGGACATGAATCGGCTGTGATCATTTCTCTCAAGGAATTCAGAATTAGAAGGGAAGAAAAATTAATACAAAGCTGACTGTGAGAAGTATGTGAGATACAAAGGCTCTGGGCATATTGATGAAGAAATAATTAATTCTGATTTAAGGTATAAGGGAAAACTTCATGGAGAAGGTGACATTTGAGTTGGGACCTGAAAAGTTCATGTAATTTTGAATGGTGGAGAAGCAGGAGGGAGGTAGAGATGCTGAAAGTGCTTTTAAACATGTGGCAGACACAGCTATTTGGCTTGTTCTTCCTCGCCCACAGAACCCTAATCATGTGCTTCAGAGGATGCTACATACAGTACTTTCCAGCTCCTACCAGTGAGTCTTGATTGGTTGAAATCAATCATGGAATTTCTATTCCCCATGCCTGTCACTGGATCCAGCATAGGCACATGACACAATTCTGGCCAATGAGATATGAGGGACAGTCTGCTGGGAAAGTTTATTTTTCAAAGAAAGGGAGAGAACATTCCTTTCCCCTACTGTTTCTGAGGGAGAAACAAAAACAAAAACAAAAAAACCTGATTCCTTGATGATGTCCTGAAACCACTGAAATTAACCAATCTGAAACCAATATAACTCATGACTTCTTGTTGCATGAGATGGTAAAGTTTTCTTCTTGTTTCAGTAACTTCTGGTTGGATTTTTGTTGTAGTTGATGGTGTTACTTTTGGCCAGATGCGGGAGACCAGCATACCCTAAGCTGATCAGTTTACCCATTTGAAACTCGCTTTTCCTTTTCACTGAATCAACCCTCTGCTAAATGTTACTTATCTTGTTCTTGTTCCTCTGCTTCATCAAGAATGGAGGTTAACCTAAGACCTAAGGCATGACAATGCACTTAGTCACTCTTCCCAAACATGCACATGGGGGGGAGATGCAAAACAGCTTTGAAAATGAAAGAAAGCAATTACACAGTGCAATACCTTGACTATTCTGTCCCATCATCCTTCCTGAACCTTTGATTGGGAGGACTTGAACTCTTATGGTAGGGTGGAGGGATGAAAATAAATATAAAGGAAAAGAGTGTAGGCAAGCCCAGGGGAAATTATGTAAATTCTTCCGGATTCACAGCAGTGCTAGAATTCTCTGGTAATTCCCACAGGAGCCAAGACTACCTCTGAAACAATCTAACTGTTGGAAACCACCAGTGTCTGGCAGGAAGCCAACTATAACAAGGGCAAAAGATATGCCTTTTTGGAGAGTCTGGACCAATCCCAGGGACCCAGGCCAGCCTGTGGCCAAAGTTGTGAATATGCAAAAACTGTCACCAGTCTCCACTCGCTTTCCCGTTCCCTTCCTAGTCCCCTTCTTTTTCTAGCCCCAATCTTTTTCTCCCTGTTCCTCCTCCCACTCCTCCTTCTCCTCCCTCACTCACTCAACAATTCATATCCTGCTTGCCTGATGAGCACAGAAGGTACTAAACCGCCTACCTTAGGACACTTGCATTTCAGCAGGGAGCTCTTACACCCCCAAGGTAATGCTCCTCTATTGCTAGAAATTCAGATCTCTAGGCTGGCTGGGGGAAGCATGTCTGGTCTCAGGCACAGTACTTCTTGTGCCATGCAAAGTCAGCTGGTGGGAAGGGGGGGATCCAAGGAAAAGAAGGGGACTAGGAAGAGAAGCGGGGATCCAAGGACTGGCTTCCCAGCTCTCACTGCCAGCCAGTGGGGTCACAAAGACATTGCCTCAAATGTGGAGCTGTCCTCTGCTAGCTCGTACAGGATCTTATCCTTCTCTCACATAACTACATCCTTCCATCTAGCTTATCTTACTCACCTTCAGTCTCAATTTAAATGTGTCTTCCTCTGGGAGGCCTTCCCTGATTGATTCCCATGTCTGGATCGGTTCAGTACCCCCAGACCACTACATGCCTTTCTCTGTGAGCACTTGTCATGCTGACTTGTGATCCATGGATCTCAGTTAGCCAGAATCCAGCACAGCCTGACACTTAGCAGGTGCTCAGTTTATGGAACGAACGAACGAATGAACATCTGTTCATATACACTATAGCTCTGCAGACACCATGATTATCTTGTTCTCCATTGTACCCTCAGCACCCAGTCCAGTGCTTAGGCTGTAGTAGTAAGACAGTAATGATTTATTAATTGATTGAAAGAGGGCGTCCCAAGAAAGGGACTTGCGTCTATGTTGCGACGACATCTTTATTGCAAGGGCAAGAAGCACATCCCAGACCTTTTTGAAAACATCAGGGATGGAGGTGGGAGGCAAGGCAAGATGGAGGAAATTTCTAGGAGTACAGATATTTAGCTGTCATGGTGGGTTTCCCTCTTCAACTATCGTTTCAGTTTTCTAGGGTTTTTTTTTTTTTTTATGGAGTTTCTCTCGTTTCCCAGGTTGAAGTGCAATGGCATGATCTCGGCTCACTGCAACCTTCGCCTCCCAGGTTCAAGCGATTCTCCTACCCCAGCCTCCGACTAGCTGAGATTACAGGCGCCCGCCACCTCGCCCAGCTAATTTTTGTATTTTTAGTAGAGACGGTGTTTCACCATGTTGGCCAAGCTGGTCTCGAACTCCTGACCTCAAGTGATCTACCTGGCTCCGCCTCCCAAAGTGCCGGGATTACAGGCATGAGCCACCGTGCCCGGCCTTCTAGGGATTCTTAACCTGGGGCTCATAGGTGGGGCTTCAAAAGATCCATGAATCCTCCGACTCTTTAATCAAGCACCCGTGTCAGTAGCTGTATGTGCATTTTTCTGGAAGAGGATCATGGCTTTCAATGAGTGTCAAAAGGCTGAGACTGCTCGAGACCTCACCGTCCAATACGGTAGCCATTAGTCCCGTGTGGCTCTTTAAGTTTAGATTTAAATTAAAATTTCAGTGCCTCACTTACACTAAGCTACACATCAAGTGCTCAACAGCCACTACCTACAGGCCAGACCAGATAGAGGGCATTTCCATCATTGCAGAAAGTTTGATGGGACAGATATCTGTATTGGTAGCATTACCAACTGAATACAGGTAAGATTGGATCCAACTAGTGCTTTTGTAAAATGAGTTACCAACATTTAGAAATAAAACATAAAAATCTAAAATCCTGATTGATTTCATTTGGGAAACAGGACTATCTATCAGCGTGGGGCCTGCGTTCCCCTGGCAGCTGGAACGCACAGTACCGCTCCCTTTAGAGGGACTCTTGGTCATATAGAAGTTCCCCGCTTGACCCTCCTTGACGACTGACAGTACGACCCTCGTTTCTAGGGGACTTCGCCCGTCTTGGTCTCCTTCCAGGCTCGCGTTTGTAACCAGACTCCAAATTTTACTAAATGGGGTTGAATTGGGTTTGAGAGCACATCTTAGAGCAGGGTCTAGGGCTGAGATTCGGGGTCTCAGTTGGAAGTTGAGGAAGGGCAACGTCTCCTTCCTTACAGTTTTCCCGGAACTGTAGGAAGTCAGAGGGAATTTTATCCTGCACATCTGTTGCTTGACAAAGAACTTCCCAATCCTCCTCCGAGCCCTCCAGTCCCTAGCCCAGTTCGCCCGGGCCCGCCCCTAGCAACAAGATCGCGGGGAGGGGCCGAGGCGAAACACGAGCCCCGCGCCCACCACCCCAGCTGGCGACGTGGCTCCGCGGCCCCGGCTTCCCCCGGCAGCTCAGCGACCAATGGGCGCGCGAGCGGGGCCGCCCGCAGCTTCCCAGCCCGAGGCCCAGGCGCGCCCCTCTGCTCCGGCTCGGGGCGGGCACTGGCGGAGGGACTGGCCAGTCCCCTCCTCCGCGCCGGCCCCAACCCTGTCGCTGCCGCCGCGCTCCGAGTCCCCATTCCCGAGCTGCCGCTGTTGTCGCTCGCTCAGCGTCTCCCTCTCGGCCGCCCTCTCCTCGGGACGATGGCGCGCGGTGGCCGCGGCCGCCGCCTGGGGTTAGCCCTGGGGCTGCTGCTGGCGCTGGTGCTGGCGCCGCGGGTTCTGCGGGCCAAGCCCACGGTGCGCAAAGAGCGCGTGGTGCGGCCCGACTCGGAGCTGGGCGAGCGGCCCCCTGAGGACAACCAGAGCTTCCAGTACGACCACGAGGCCTTCCTGGGCAAGGAGGACTCCAAGACCTTCGACCAGCTCACCCCGGACGAGAGCAAGGAGAGGCTAGGGTGAGGCCGCGGCCAGGGCCCCGTGGGGGGCGGCGCAGGTGTCCGAGGGCCGCCTGGGCGAGAGCCACGCGGGATACCACCGCCAAAGCGAAAGCGAAATCGCGCGCGCGGCCTCGAGGATGGGGCCCTGCCCAACTCGGCGCTGGGGCTCAGGCTAACTTGCTGGAGGGCCCCGGGACCCCAGCTTGGAGATCGCCGCCGCCGCGCCCCGGCCGGGGTGGTTTCTCGCGGGGAGGCGAGAACGTGGCAGCGGCCGCGGGAGCCAGGACGGCGAGGGCCCGCCCCCTCCCCCAGGTTGCATCAGAAGGGAGGGGAGAGTGCACAAAAGAAGAGTTTGTCCACAGTGGCCTGTTAGTGCCATGAGTTCCTCCCCACTCTCTCGCAGTTTCTCTCTGATCCCCCACTCCCGGGGAGAAGGGCTTGAGACACTCGCTAAGAAAATCTCAGGGATGAACATAAATGGATAAAAGATGAAGGGGCAGGCGAGCGACAGGCTTGCTTCCTGGTCTCGGCCGCAGTGGTCTTGCCTTTTGCCTAATCGCCCTGTAAATCTATCGTAAGGAGTCTGGGCGCGGTGACTCACGCCTGTAATCCCAGCACTTTGGGAGGCCGAGGCGGGGGGAGGGGTGGGGAGATCACCTGAGGTCAGGAGTTCGAGACCAGCCTGACCAAACGGCGAAATCCCGTCTCTACTAAAAATACAAAAATTAGCCGGGCGTCGTGGCACACGCCTGTAATCCCAGCTACTTGGGAGGCTGAGGCAGGGGAATCGCTTGAACCCGGGAGGCGGAGGTAGCAGTGGGCCGAGATTGCGCCACTGCACTCCAGCCGGGGCTAGAGTGAGACTCCATCTCAAAAATAATAAAAATAAAAATAAAATAAAATCTAGTGTAGGGATACAAAAATCCGGTTGAAAAGGGACACGCAGTTTCCGATTGGAAACACGAGGGAGCAGGAATGGAAACGGTTCGCCTGAAACGTTTCTGTTGGCAGCAGATGTCTGCAGAAGCACTCAGTTCTTTGGCAACTGATTTGTTTGGGGGGCAAAAAGCTGGAGGGTTCTCTTGGTGGTGGAGGATTTTGACTTGGGCTGTTAAAGGCAGTTGAGTCAGGAACCAAACCCGGGAAACAAAACTTCGGCGCATTTTAGTACACCCTCCCCGGGTCCCCTGAGGAAACACTTGGGCACTGTGCGGAGGTATCTGGTGGTCCTTGCACAGAGGACCCAGCAGGCAGCCTGGTCCCAGATGGAGGCAGGGCTGGGGAAGAAACCAGCAGTCCTGCCTATTGGGCACCAGGTCTCAGATCTCCCTGAACCTGATTCCTGGGGGTGGAGGATCTTCATGTTCTGCCACATGAAAGAGAACACAGCCATCCCTGTGCTCCTGGGGGCCTCCAAAGGCCAAAGTGTTTCATTGGAATATGAGGATAAATTATACCTATTGTGTAGGTGCACCATTTGCCTGCTCTGATAAAAAGACCTTTGAACTTCAAAGTCACCTCCAAACAATTACCTTTTATCTTGCAGAGTACTTTCTCTTCTCAGTTAGGACTTAACAATAGGGGCCATTGATGAGTTCAGTCTATTGTATTGCTTTGAGGCACTTGGAGACTGATTTATCCTGGAGCCCTGAGTGGCAGCCACATTGTCACTGGAGAGGAGGCAGGGAGAGGTTTTGGGATTTGGAAAACTTTATAAGGTGTGGTCATGCAGCTTCCAGTTAATGCCTTCATTGTGACAGTTCAGCCTAGTAGTGAGAAAAAGTGACGGTGAAGTTGGTCTGGATTTGATCCTTGTATCAACACCTTGACTTCATTCATTTATTCATGCAACAAACATTTGAATGGCTACTGTGTACCAGGCCCCAGTTTAGATAACTGGCAGGTACAAAGATGAAACCTTATGCTCTGGGCGTCGAAGTGCTTGTAAGCAAATGTGGAGGAGAGAAGCACAGACAAACTAGCCATTATGCACAATTGCTGCAATGATGGCCTATAAAACCTACTGTGAGCACATTCAGGAGAAGGAGCCGCCAAGGCTGCAGGTTAGAGAGAGGGGATTGGGGCTGTCACCTGATCAGAGTTTGTAGGATGACTTGGAGGTTGCCAGGTGTACAGCAGGGGAAGGCCTTCCTGAAGAGAAAACAGCCCATTTCTAAAGGGTTTGAAAAGCGTTCTGGGGCATGAGGGGTGGTGAGTCTGCAAAGGGGCAGGGAAGGGAAGTGAGAGGTGAGAATGGAGGGGAAACCAAGGGCAGAGCAGGAAGGACCTTGGTGAGATGGACATGAGATGTTATCCTGTACATTGTCAAAATGTCATAATCCCCAAAACTCATTGGGAAAGTCAGGCTGGCAGGAGGGCAGTACACAGAGAACATAATCAAGGCACAGACTAGACCAGTGGCAGGGAGAGGAGGTGAATGCCAAAGGGGCTTGGTCTCTCCGGATTCCAGGAGGGGATGAATCTAGACACCAGTGGGAGGCAGAACTGGCAGCTCTTGCTCTTGACTCAATGAGGGGGAGAAGAGAGAGGTAGGAATCAAGGGGACATCCGGGTCTCTGGCCTTAGCCACCAGATGGGTGATGGATGCACCATTCACTTGTAGGTTAAATGTGGGGTAGAGGCGGGGTAGGAGGTGCTGGAAATTATGGGTCCTGTTTGGGATGGGGCTGAGTGTGAGAAGCTGCCCCTCTGTCCAAAGCTTCTGTTTCAGTGGTCCCCTCCAAGATTGGGCTGAGGAGGAATGAGTGTGGCTGGATCTAGGCAACTTTGTCACCATCACCTGTCAGTCCTGAAAATGTGACAGCTCTAAGGCCCCTAAAGACACCTGGACCAGAGGTTGCAAAGTGGGAACCCGTAGGCTGCATGCATTCATAAATATGCGACACAGTGTAAATTACTTGCCCACGTTTAAAGTTTGAATGGTTTCACATACAGACCCCCATATCTGGCTTCTCTTGACACCTTTATTCCCATGTGTCAGTCATCGTCTGCAGCAGAGTCGGCCAGCCCTATTTGGCGGCTAGCAGGGTACCTCCAAGTGGCCATAGGTCCCATCAAAAGGTTTTGCTCATTCTGTTACCTGTTGGTGTTGAGAACAAATGATGATGGAGTTGGTCTGGGTTTGCTCCTTGCATCAACACCTTAACTTCATTCATTTATTCATGCAACAAACACCCGAATGGCTACTGTGTAGCAGCTACCATCAGCCACTGATCTAGATTATTGTCTTTAGTGAGGAAAAGCATGCATTCTCTCCTTTATTCCTCACAACATTCCTTGTGAAGTAGGTGTTCAGTTTACAGATGGGGAAACTCAGAGAGTCAAGACACTTGCCCAAGATCACGCAGATAATGGGGACCAGAGGCAGGACGGGGATCCAGGTGTTCTGATGAAAGTGCTAGGCTTCATCTCCATCCTAGCTGCCTTTCCCAGGATCTCCCTTGACATTGTTAAAGAGAAGGTTAAGATCTTATTTATTCTTACAACAAATATTTATTGAGTCCCTAATATTTGTCAGGCTGAGCTATGTCCTAGATGTTTATTTGGCATAGATTAGATGCTGTCCTTTCCACAAAAGAGGATTGTAGAGTCTGATGTCATTACCCTGAGATTATGTTTCCCAGTTGGCGTTGGGTAACCCACTGGCATGTCTCCACTGTGTCCCCAGGATCAGAGCAGTGCTTGGCACATAACTGGGCTCAACACTGCACAATGTTAAAAGAATTCTGCTGTGTCTGGCTATGATTTCCTGGGGGAAGAAGCCTGAAGACACTTGAAGTTTCATGTTTTAGTCTTTTTTTTTTTTTTTAAAGACAGGGTCTTGATTTGTTGCCCAGGCTTGTTTACAGTGGTACAGTCATAGCTCACACTGCAGCCTCGACCTCCTGGGCTCAGGCAATCCTCCCACCTCAGCCTCCTGAGTAGCTGGAGCTACAGGCATGCATCACCATTCCTGGCTAATTTTTTTATTTTGAGACGGAGTCTTGCCCTGTCGCCCAGGCTGGAGTGCAGTGGCGTGATCTCGGCTCACTGCAAGCTCAGCTTCCCAGGTTCACGCCATTCTCCTGCTTCAGCCTCCCGAGTAGCTGGGACTACAGGCACCCGCCACCACACCTGGCTAATTTTTTTGTATTTTTAGTAGAGACGGGGTTTCACCGTGTTAGCCAGGATGGTCTGGATCTCCTGACCTCATGATCCACCTGCCTCGGCCTCCCAAAGTTCTGGGACCACAGGCGTGAGCCACCATGCCCGGCCATTCCTGGCTAATTTTTAAATTTTTTGTAGAGTCAGGATCTCACTATGTTGCCCAGGCTACTCTCAAACTCTTGGCCTCCTACCTCAGTCCTCCCACCTCAGCCTCCTGAAGCACTGGGATCACAGATCCAGCCTATCTTTTAGGATTGAGACCTGTTAAACTTGCAAATGAAGGGGTACTTTCAAGCTGTTGGTGATGTTTACACCTTCCTGAGAAAGAGGAGCTTGGGTTCTTGGGTTCAGGTAGGAGGTGGAGACATTGATTATTCACTCCTCCCCTTCTCGTGTACACCCTCCCCCACCTAAAAAAAAGTTATAGGAGATTTTCTCTGTCAAACTATCAAACTGATGAATTTGTTTCCCATTTTTTATTAATTAAAGATTAATTGCCACTCAGAATGTCTGTTGACAAGAAAGTTTTACCACTGAAGCTGTTAGAATTCCAGCCCAAAACAAAGAAAGAAATCTAGAGTTAGCCTGTATGACCTCCTCCCAGATAAATGGACTACAAGGGTGAAACTTTTTTAAACACTGGGGATAGCTTGGAGGTGTTTTTGAAGTTCCCCACTGGGATGCTGTCCTGGTTTGGGACCATCTGGTCTAGAGATGACAAAAGTGGGTTCCCAGCCTGAAGTTTGCTCTGGGCTAGCATTTAGGGTACCTCAGTGGAGTTCAGTGGGAAATTTGTGAAACCTAGGCCAGCTGTGGAGCTGGTATAGGAGTCTTTACCCTAAGAGCAGAGGGTTTAAGGTTCCTAGAGCGGATCAGCTGGTCAAGTTTTGTGAATAGATTCTATGATGTCAAGGCTCCTTCAGCCCTGACATTTGTGCTGTGTCCACCATCTGGTGTCTTCTTGCTTTACGTTTCAAGTCTTTGTATCCATGGTGGTGGGATTTAAAAAAAAAAATCACTTATCTTTTGATTTACATACAGTTTCCACTTTTTGCCTTGGACCTAAGCCAGAAGACATGAGTTCTCACCCCAGTTTTACCAAATACTGGCTGTGTAATCTTAGAAGTTATTCCATTTCTCTGGGCCTCAGTTTCCGTTACTCCAAAATGAGGGTGCTGGACTACAGCAGGGAAGATTAATAGGTTTCATCTTACAGATCAGCTCTGATCCGTTGATAATGGCCATCACCAGAGCACAGTGCTGAGAATTCTGAGAGCACCTCTAGGTTTATCAGGACAGAGGGGCACGATCCATTAGCAGTGTCTGCCATCAGCACTGGTTGGGGGAAAGCACATCAACCTTGGAAGGATAAACTTGAAGATTCCTTCCAGCCTCCTTGGATCATTGATTCTGTTGTAGTTGTATGTGCATTTTGGATTGTGCAGGTGTTTGATCTTTTGCTGGACCAGCATCACACAAGCCTTGATAATATAACAGCCTTGTGCCTGTGTGTGGGTTTCTTTTTTTTTTTTTTTGTACTGCAGGAAGATTGTTGATCGAATCGACAATGATGGGGATGGCTTTGTCACTACTGAGGAGCTGAAAACCTGGATCAAACGGGTGCAGAAAAGATACATCTTTGATAATGTCGCCAAAGTCTGGAAGGATTATGATAGGGACAAGGATGATAAAATTTCCTGGGAAGAATACAAACAAGCCACCTATGGTTACTACCTAGGTAAGAGGTGCTGCAGGAGCGATGACACAGTGGGGGCCCAGATCACAAGCTTTTTGTAGACTCTCTCTTCTCTTATCATATCCACTCCCTTCAGGGAGATGTCACAGCCTCCTAAGTAGAACCTGCTTGTATAACACCCTCCTCTGTAAACTCAGAATGTACTGAGTTGCTTACACTGAATGAAGTTACAGGTGGGAGGGAAGGGCTGTGAGGGCTAATAAAAAAAATCCCTTAGATTGAGACCCCATCTCAACTTCGTCTCAGATGCACACACGGAGAAGAAAGCAGAAAGGAAGTGTGTCTGTGGTATATTTTCAAAATGCTGCCTAATTCTGGATAGCAAGGATTGAGTGGGCCGGAGCAGTCAGGGAAGGCTTCCTGGTGTGGGTGGTTTGGAAACTGGAGCCTTGGAGAATGGATTTATATTTGGAGAAGGTGGGTCAACTGGAGGGGCAAAGATGCAGCAATGCATGCAGTAATGGGAAGGGTTTAGATCCAAGACAAACAAGATCGGGAGAAGGAAGGAGAAATGAGATTACAGAGGCACGGGGTGCAGACCTGCTGGGTGCATGGTGAGGTTGGCAAAGAAACAGGCCCAAGGAGAACCAAAGATGCACTCACGCGGCCAGAATCGGGGAGATCTTGAAAGCCAGGCACGGCGTTGAGACAAGATGTTTTGGGTACCAAAGAGCCTCTGTATGTTCCAGATCTAAGAATGAGATGATGAAAGTAGAGTTCTGCAAAGAGAAGTATGGCAGTAATATAGTCTAAAGCCTGCGCTCTTAACCACTTGCAGTAATTCCCCTAATATGCCATGAGGCCTAGATTATGGGGTGGCTTGAAGGGACTGATATTAGAGGCATTCTGACATAGAATGTTTTAAAGAACTCAGTAGGTCGGGACCTTTTTTCCCTATATGTACCATTTGAGCATGCAGGATGAGTGATCTGGCAGGAAACGCCTTTCTTGACCGCACGGTTTAAAAACATTTCTGCATACATACATCCTGCAGGAAACCCCGCAGAGTTTCATGATTCTTCAGATCATCACACCTTTAAAAAGATGCTGCCACGTGATGAGAGAAGATTCAAAGCTGCAGACCTCAATGGTGACCTGACAGCTACTCGGGAGGAGTTCACTGCCTTTCTGCATCCTGAAGAGTTTGAACATATGAAGGAAATTGTGGTTTTGGTAAGATAAGTGAAGAGTCTGGGCTGGGAAGAGACCAGGGAGAAAACTGCCTCCAAATCTTGTCTCTTCCAAAGAGAGAAGATTTTTCAGCCTGAAGGGAATTGGAGAAGGACTCTGAAGTAGAGTTTGTTGGAATCCCCGTCTACCCAGAAAATTAGTCAGGTCAGGCTGGCTGCTGTAACAGATAGCCCCCAGTTGTAGCCATTTAACACTAGCAAAGCTTGTTCCAGCCAGATGGACCTCCTGGGCTGTTCTCTGAGCACAGTTGGGTACCCAGTTCTCCTCTAAGCACTCCTGCTTGTGCTCTGCCATCTTGTAGCTTCAAAGTCATCCTGGCAACACCCAGCTGGCTGACAAAGGAAAAGAGAGGGAATGAGAAGATACAGTCTTTGTTTACTCTTCCGGCCAGGGAATGACACATCCCCTTCACGTATGTTCCACTGGTCCCTCCTAGATATGAAGAGGCTGGGAAATACAGTTTAGATACGTGCCTAGAAAGAGTAAATGGGGCCCAGGCACAGTGGCTCACGCCTGTAATCCCAGCACTTTGGGAGGCCGAGGCAGGCGGATCATGAGGTCAGGAGTTTGAAACCAGCCTGGCCAATATGTTGAAATGCTGTCTCTACTAAAGATACAAAAAAAATTAGCCAGGCATGGTGGCATGTGCCTGTAATCCCAGCTACTTGGGAGGCTGAGGCAGGAGAATCGCTTAAACCCAGGAGGCGGAGGTTGCAGTGAGCCGAGATCGTGCCATTGCACTCCAGCCTGGGCGACAGGGTGAGACTCCTTCTCAAAAAAAAAAAAAAGAAAGAGCAAATGGCTTAAGTGAGCAACTAGCTAGTCTCTGCCCCATTTTTCAATTTTAAGGGACTTGGAAAAAGACTCAGAAATGGAATGAATTGGATTGTTAAAACTGTATGGAAATGTAAAGTAAAAATTATGGCTGGAAGAGATGCTACCCTTAGCGGGTGGGTCTTTGGAGGGTGGGTGGATCAGGCCCTAGGCTTTGAGGAATGACTATGCTTGTAAGGCCTCAGAATGTAGTTGCTTTCCGTAGTGTCTTGTTGGGTCCCAAATGTCTTCATTTTCCATGACAATTAAATAAATGCCATCACCTGTTTTCCTGGGCAGATGCACCAACCCAGTTCCAACTGTTTCAATCCTGGGAAACAGATGGCTAGAGCTTTTGTTTACACGAGCTGTGGATGGTTTTAGTTATCCAGGTGGTGGAAGGGTCCACTCATGCTTCATCCTCCTGACTGCCATGACTGTAAGGACTGGGCAGTGGCTCCAAGAATCATTTCTCTTTACCACTCAACATTCATGTAGTGTTAGCTAATGTGGCAGAGGACAGTGCAGGTGGTGAATGATCCCGAGTAGACTACGAGCCTTTGGGAGTGGCTCTCTGCTCTCAGGTTGGCTCTTTGGTTTGACCCAGGATGCCTCTGAGTTGCTGTGCCAATGAACAGTAAACTCATTTAATTATTGACCCAATCAAAAAATACTGAATAAGAGGTCAAGTATACTAAATACAGAGCACAATACATCAAAAAGTCAGATATACTTTTATTTTTTAGTTGCCCACTGTTTCACATTTCTCTTGACACCAACTCAGTATTCATAGTCCTGTTAGCACTAGAGTCTATTCTTGTGGTCATCTAATCCAGTGGTTCTCACACTGGGTTTCTCGCATGTTCCCCAGTGGGTGTTTTGGCTGGATGGTGGAGTTAGTTGGCCTGGCAGGGCCTCCTGATATCGTCAGAGCACCTCTGGGGTTACAGGTACATCTTGCTTGCTTTGAAGAAAGCATTCTGCTCTGGAAACTGGGGTGGGGGATTAGGAACAGAAACTATTGCCTGTTTTTTACAGATAAAAAACTAGTTCCCAGGGAAGTAAGGCGATGAGCCAGAAGTCACCAAGCATTCAGCCGTAAAAGCTGGACAAATGAGGACAATAGAATTCTCAGACTTCTTAGAGCACATGGCCATCTTGCATTCTGTTTTACCTTTTGCTTCCTAGGAAACCCTGGAGGACATCGACAAGAACGGGGATGGGTTTGTGGATCAGGATGAGTATATTGGTGAGTACTGACCTAGAGTCTTGCTCAGCTGTCCTGACTGGGCCACATGACCCCACCCACACGTCTGGCTACTTTCCCCAGACGTCTCTTTTAGCAACAGCTGCAAGTCTATACGTCACTCCTGGGAGCTTCCAGCCTGCTTGTCCCATCAGCCCTAGTGATGTAGTATCAGGGAAGTATTATTAGGCCTCATTCAGTGGAGAAGAGATGAAAAGGCTGGCCCTACACAAGGCTGGCCAACAGTTGGCCCCATGACTCTGAGAGGTGCCCTTCATCACACTGCCTAGTTTTACCTTTGCAAAAGGACATTGGAGATCCCATAGATTTACAGTGAAGATAGAGGAGACAGTGTCAGGGCAAAGCCTCTAAAACTGGACTGGGTCAATGGAGCCTAGAAACTCTGAGTAGATGCAGCTGTGATTAACAGAACTGTTTATGTGTCTGAGCACTTTGCAGAAAGGCATTCTTCTTAGAAAGATAAATGCTTTACAGAGTGCACAATTGCCCAATAATATGCTCATTTTGTGCCCCTCGTTTCCCATCCTTTGGATGGGAGTCCTATAGTGTCAAATTAATGTATTTGGGTCTGAACCCACCATTGCTGGTTAGAGCCCTTCCTGGTAGCCCCAAATCCCCCCCAGCCCAACCCCCCGCTAGAAAGGACTAGAGCAGGCAACAAGGACAATTCCATTTGATCCTCACCACCTGCTATGGCACATGGCTCCAGCTGCAGGCTCCCTTCTCATGGCAGCTCTTTTCCCAAGTCTCAATAAAGTAAAAGCTGGAAAATCATTTGGTTTAGGTGTTGACCTATGAAAAGAGAAATGAAATATGTATAATTTTTGTACAGATTTTTAATCAAAGCCATTAATTACCTTTAAATGTAAAACTCAGAGCCTGAGTTGCTGTCTCTGGTTTTGTGGTTGTATTACTTTGCCATCCCAGACACGAGAACAAGTGCCTTCAGCAATGAAGAGCAGACTTTCCTCTAATCATTAGAAATTATGTTTGATCATGAGCCAAACACTGTTCCTTGTGTGTCATTGGTAACAGACAAGGTAGCTCTCGCCACAGTAATTAAAGTGATCTTGGTGGCACTACCCTGATAGAATAACATATGCTGACAGCTCCCTCATCAGAGCAAGCAGTTGAGCCTTCCTCTTGCTGGGTCCACGTGCGAGGGTCACGTTCGGAGGCGCAGACCTCTTACTGTGGCACTGGGGATGAAATGAGACTGACAGCAAAGACTGCATGATCAAAACAAACAATGTAGTGCTTTTGATTGAAAGTGTGCGCTCTGCCCAGCCCTCCGGAACTGTGCATTGAAATGGTGCAAAGTCAGAGGCAGAACTCTTTGAGTGGCTTTGCCTAAAAGAAGCATCCCATTCTTTACAGTGAATAGGGAGAGGGAGGTGGAGGCGTTGCGCTTGAAAATCGAATACCTAGTGACTCACAGGCAGAGGAAACCCAATGTATTGACTCGTCATTTCACTTCTCGGGGAGGCTTCTCTTCAAGCGGCACCAAGTGGAAAGTGTGTGGTGGGGGGTGGTAGTAGGAAGAGCACTGGAATTAGGAACCCTACCTTCACCAATTAGCTGTGTGACCCTGGGGTAATCATGTAATGGCTTCAAACCTCAGCTTCCTCATCTGTAAAATGGGGGAAAAAAAGTGAGCCCATTTTTACAGGATTCGATGAAGCTCGAATTAGCTAATACATATTACAACTCTTTCTCAAAAACAATGTAGACATGTCAGTTAGGGGTCTACCTTGTAGTCAAGGGTCTTGTCTTTTTTTTTCCTTCACTTACTACCTGCTTCATTCACCACCTGACATTTCCAAGCTCTGCTTCCGTGACAGAGAAACTGCCTGCAGGGTATCTCTCTTTTCCAAGAGCTACTGACACACACACAATGCAAAAACGTTTCCTTTTTCTTTTCCTTGCCATTTTGTACAATGGGGATAATGACCCATCTTGTAGAATTGTTATAAGGATGAAATATAATGACAAGTGAAAGCCCTTTGGAAATGATATAAACAATAGTACTAAACACAGTGGCTAAGACTCTGGGTTGAAAGCAGAGTGACCATGTTCCTGTGCAGCCTCCAGCTCATATGAGCTGTGGGTCATTGGGTAAGACTTTACCTCATTGTTTTCATCTGTAAAATGGGAATTATAACAGCACTCACTTTGTAAGGCTGTTATGTGAAAATCAAATGAAAACTGTGTGTAGAACACTTTATACAGTATCTGGACCATAGTGTTCAATGTTAGTCATTATTATTAGTTTTCGCTTATGTAGTGCCAGTTTGGGTTGTAGAGGGCTTTTACATCAAAATGGCACATTTGATCATAATAGCCCCATGATTTATAAATTATCATCTCCATTTTACAGACAAGGAAACTTCAGGCTCAGTCACTGAACTAAGTCAAAAGCCGGGATTTATCTTTTGGCTTCTAAACTCAGTTCTTTCTACTCCACCACATGGCCTTCATCATGAATAAATTACTGCATCATTATCCCCAAGAAGCTGCCTACCAGCTGTTTGAGTTAGGTCTCTGGATTGGTTGTCGCCTTTCCTAAAGCTCAGGAGGTCAAGTTTGTTTTATGGGGGTGGGGGAGGTTTACCTTCCCACTTTCCTTTGTAACCAACAATAACCTTCCCTTCTAGCGGATATGTTTTCCCATGAGGAGAATGGCCCTGAGCCAGACTGGGTTTTATCAGAACGGGAGCAGTTTAACGAATTCCGGGATCTGAACAAGGACGGGAAGTTAGACAAAGATGAGATTCGCCACTGGATCCTCCCTCAAGATTATGATCATGCACAGGCTGAGGCCAGGCATCTGGTATATGAATCAGACAAAAACAAGGTATTTCCCATTCTTCTGGAATCACTGATTGAAGGGAGACAGTTTACATAAGATCGGTTTTGTTTGCTTTTTCGGCGATAGCATTGACCCATGTGGCCATGTCTTTATTGACTTTTCCTTCTTGTCCTACAGTGGAGACCTGTAAACTTGAGCTAATACCGTGATAACCCACAGTAAAATTATTAGGCCCCAACTTTCCTGGAAAGTCAGCTGTGAGCCACAGACTTACATTAAGTCACATTTCCTAAGATTGCAGAACTTTGTGGGCAGGACACGATTTAAGAAGTATACCCCGTGTTGCCCTAGGATCAGCTTATTTATCCATTCATTGTCACCAAATACTTATCAAACATCTGTGAGGTGTCAGGAACAAGGAAGCCCATCCCATTAAAGCCCAGACATCCTCAGGCAAGCTCAGGTTTCTGGCTTTAATGCCTAGTACTTCGGTATCTATTGATAAACATCCAAATAAACAAATCAATACATTTAGAAAAATGTCCTGCCTATTCCCCACTTTGCTGATTGCCCCCAAATTCTCAGGTTATGCCAACAGTCAGTTTAGGCAGCGAGGCTGTAAGAGGAAAGTGGCATTCTTGAGGGCCTATTTTGGGAAGACCAACACTGCTTGTGGGCACAAATGGATTCTAGCTTCTGAATTACTCGGGGACTTCCCTGACACGTTAGCACGGTTTTTATAGCAAGAGGCTGTTCCGATTTGGAGTTTTGCAATGCAGTCATGGTAGATGAAGGAGGTGCCCAGTAGCTTCTGGATTACTAAATATAGTATTTTAAATGTTGTACATCAGTGAAATGACATGAACATCATACAGAACTAGTACAGTTACCAGAGCTTCCATGACAGTGCTCTTTGATCTCTTCTATAGGATGAGAAGCTAACTAAAGAGGAAATATTGGAGAACTGGAACATGTTTGTCGGAAGCCAAGCTACCAATTACGGGGAAGATCTCACAAAAAATCATGATGAGCTTTGATAGACACTCACCAGAATATGGCAGACTGTCATAGGCATTCTGTTATTGTCTTGGATTGTTGCTACAATTGTCTAATTTACAGCAGTTGTGATCCCACAAAAAGCAAGTTTATACCTCAGATTGGGGTATAAAAATTGTTTTTCGCTCAGTATTTACTGGAAAATGGACATCACTAGTCTTTCAGTAAGATTTCTCTCAAAACACGTGAAAACCTTGGTAAATTGCAATTCTTTCTGGGGATATATTGGTACAACATGACTTAAAACTTTTTTTTTTCTATTAAAACTTAAAGGGGAACAAAACTTGAAAAAGCCCTGTTCTTCAGAAGGTGAGTGGGTTGAGGGAGGCAGTAATATGAAGTGACTGCTGTGTATTTTAACTACCAGATTTTTTATATTTGCCACTGTTAAATAGTTGGAAAGGGGAAATTCTGATTAAGCGAAAGTGGTATCATCCTAGGTAAGCTTATTTCAGAACAAGTCTAATATTTCAGATTCTTTCTTTTCGACTTTATACTCTGAGTTATTACTTACTGTAAGTGGTGTATATGAAACCTCCATGCATTTTCCAGTATGGATCTGCTAATATGCACAGTAAATCCATGTCTTTGTTTGTTTTTCTATTAAAAAGCAATCAAGAAAGATAATGTGAAAAAGAAAGGAATTTAGAGGTAGGGAAAAGATGAATGTCAGACATTTGAAGAACTATAGTAAAATGATAAACACTAAATATACTTGAGAAAACTTTCTTAATATGCCAATGAGGTAGGCCTGATCTTTGAAATAGTGAATAGGAATACAATGCATTTCCTCAGTGATCACTGATTAGAATGAGTTGGTGGGATCCTTGGGAAGCCAAACGGAGCGGAGTTCTGGATCATGTCCCATCCAGTCCAGTGAATCCACGACCCGCAGACCTGTCCCCCCGCAACAGCTTATACCATGGAATGAGGACAAGGTGATACTCTGAGCTGTGGACTGAACTGGCAGACACAACCTGTACAGATTGAAATTTCACCTTGTAAGGAGGAAGTGAATGAAATAAAGGATCCCCCTAAGGATTTTCTACTGTGTCCTGTGGTGTTTGACTTCACAGATGCTATTTGTGACATTATTCATATAGCATAAAACAGTGGGGTTGGATCCCATGAATAACATTATAAAGGTTCTGGGGTTTTTTTTCATCCAATTACTAGAATGTTCAGAATAGACTCATATTTACTAATTTAATAAATGTATGTACTTAATGCCTTTACTTTTCTAGGTCATTTTAACTATAAAATCTTCCTGAAAAAGGTTGCACCTGGAAAATCTGGACTTCTTCCCTGGGCCTATGAGGCGCTGTAGGAGGAGGCCTATGGGATCTGGCCCCTACCAGCAGTAGCATCATCTCCTTACCACTGTCCCTTTCATACCGCCTATAGTCTGGCCCCAGAGACTTTCTAGTCCTCAGACACACCAAGGTCATTCCCAGGTTGGGCCCTTTGCACTTGCTGCCCCCTCACATTCAGAATACCCATCTCTCACGCCCTCGGGTAACACATGGTACTTCCTCAGGGGGGCTTTCCAGACCCCACTATTTAAAGTAATCCCAACTCGAATCTCGGTTTCACATCCCCATTTTATTTTCTTCTTGGCATGCATTACTATTTGTATTCATTTCCATGCCTTCTGTCCAAATTGCCACAAAGTGGGGGATTTACAGTGACAGAAACTTACACGGTTCTGGAGGCCAGGGTCTGAAGTCAAGGTGTCAGCAGGGCTGCTCTGCCTCTGAAGGCACTAGGGAAAATGCCTCCTTGCTTCTTCCAGCTTCTGGTGACTCCTTGGAGTTCCTTAGCTTGTGGCTACATCACTCCACTGCGTCATCTCTGCCTCTGTCTTCACAAGGCCTTCCTCTCCTTTCTCTGTGTCTCCCCTTGGTGTGTCTTTTATAAGCACACTTGTCATTTGATTTAGAGCCCACTTGGATTATCTAAGATGGTCTCATCTTGAGGTGCATAATTACATCATCCCTTTTTCCAAGTAAGATCACATTCACAGGTTCTGGGGGTTAGCAGGTGGATATATCTTTTGGTGGGGGGCCTTCATTCAAGCTAACCTACTACACCACTTGACATTATATTGTTTGGACATTGCTTGTCTCTCCCAAGCTAGAATATAAACCATGAGACCAGCAGTCTCGTTTTCTGATTTACTGCTGTTTCCCGGGACTGCGAACAGTAGAGTCTATTAGCAATAAATGCTCAGGAATTATTTGCTGAATGAATGAGAGGCTGATGGCTTTAATCAAAGGGAATATCTCTCAGGGAAAAAAATTCTGTAAAAAATATTAAAATAGCTAACAATTGCTAAATGGGAACTTTGAGCGATTTGCCCAAGATTCCACAATGATTAAATGGCAAGGCAAGACATCAACTCCAGGTGTTCCTGGCTCCAAAGTTCTCTTCCATTTAGCTTTAAGTTTTGCTGCTCCAAATCTCAAAATTTCATATGTTTTCTCTTTATTTCTTTGCTCATCCACAGCATATGATTATGTGGTAAGGAAATGAGAATAACTCCGCTTTACTAGAAATAAGCATATGGCTTTTTTTTTAAAGCAATGAGAAGCTGTTTTTTAAAAAATGAGAAAATAATATTGTGTAACCTAATTATAAGCATAACAATTTAAAAGGTGATGACATTATTTTTCACCTCCAAAAAGGAATATAGTTGATTTATTATTGTATGTAGTAAGACATTAAATATATTTGGAGCATTAACTTTTTCCTTTCAAGTCAGTGCACATTGGAAGACTAACCCTGAACGATACTAGAGCTTCTGGGGCTGAATTTAACACTAAAGAATGAAAACCTTAGCTAGGGGCAAAACTGTTAACATGGTGATTTGTAAAACCTTAGATTTCTAATAAGGTCTGACTGTTTCAAGGAAAACATATTTTGTTTCTAGGTAACATTTCAAGTCTGATTATGAACAAATGCTACAAAATTGATCTGTAATGGGAAATACTGTAATGTCACAAAGCATTATTTAATGCTTAATGTGACTGAAAGCATTAATTGCTAGGAGCCATTGTCTGTCCAAGCAAAACACAAACACACATTTTACACTCCGCGTCTCTTACTGTAGGTTTTCGAATGAATAAAAGTGTCACAAAAATGTAGTTAGAAAATCTGCCATACCTGAAGGTTTTCTTCACCTGTTTGGAATATGGTAGTTGTTCCCTTATTAGCAAATGCGTGAGTCGTATCTTCTCAGAAGTCCCCAGCAAACAGTTGCTGTGTGGCTGCTTGTTAGCAGCTCAGCTAAAATGTCTCGTGGGGTGAGGTAGTGAGTGGTTGACGGGATTTTTTTTTTTTCCTTCTAGATTTATTTTGTCACTTTCATAATGAAATCTCAGGTTTCTCCAAGAACGTGCAGTTGAGATTTGGCTGTCTCTGAAGTACTGAAATGAGTTTATAGCACTAGAATTCCCACTAAAAACCAATGAGTGGCATAACGTTCATCACTTTGGCTCACACTGAAGTATTAAAAGTCTGAGTACTGGCTGGAAACCTTGTGTCATCAGTAAACTCATGAGATTTACATGAACTTGGGGCTATTTCCAAAGAAACCATCCCCATCCTCAATTCTGGTCAGTCCCAGGGTCCATGGCTGGGGATACATACCCTAGGTGTAATGCGTCGCACCACCCCATGTGCTTTTAGTACCTCTATAATTTTTCTCATGTAAAATAGAAAATGGAGTCTGATTCTCCCACAGAAGTCCATCAAAGAAAATGGCTGTAAGGATTGGCTACCTTCTACCTCAAAGGTGTTTGTGTAGTGAGCACTTAAGCATTTCATTGCTCCTAGGATAAACACTAATAGCTCTGTACCAGGAACTATACCAAGCACATACATACATTTCTTTCTCATGTAACCCTCACAGCAGCCCTTGAGATTGGTACTTGTAGGAAAGAGGAGAAGCCAGGTTATGTTGCAGTAACAGACAATGCTAACATCTCAGTGGTTTAAAGCAACAGAGGTATAATCTTTGCTTTTGCAAAGCCAGCTGTGGCCTGGCCAGTTGTCTGTGGTGTGGGGTCTCAGCAAGATATCTCCACAAGCAACCATATCCACTGGAGACCCCACACAGGCAATCCACTGCTGCCACCTAAAAGTGGCCCCTGTCACTCATGCTCACTGACATTGGTCAGTCAAAGCAAGTCATGTGGCCACTTCTAACTTCAAGGGAGCAGGAGAGTGTGATCCTACTGCTGAAAGCACTGGTGAGCAGCATCTGTGGTTACCACAGTGGATTCCCATCTTACAAATCAGGGAACTAGAAAGGGAAGTAATGCCCAAAGCCACCCAACTCACATATGAGATGACTGTATAATTGATTGTCCAGACAAGGACACCTTTGCCAATGAAAGGGAGGAGTTTTAATCAATATCTCCCTGAATCCTGGACAACCTGCTCTGCTCACTTTGGGACTAGTAAAGACTCATTCCACTCCTTGTCTCACTATGTTCTTCCCCAAGGGTTGAGAAGTCCATGGGCCAAAAAATTTTGCCCATTCAGAGCCAGTGCCTCCTGCTTCTAGACCATGCTCCAAGTCCCCAGATGACTCCAGAACTCTCTGCCCAAATGACCCCAAGTCTCTTCCAAAGCCTGGGTCAGCCTCTTCCCCAGGTATATCTTCCAAAGGGCAGGCAACATGGTGGGTAAGCCCACCTCTAGTCCCAAAGGATGGCCAACGGGCAGCTGTTGGGGGGTGGACTTGATGTAAACCTGCAGGCTGCGGTGTTCACACACACTGCTATGGTTTGAATCTATGAATCACCCAAAATTCATTTGCTGAAACTTAAGACCCAAGGCAATGACATTGTAAACAAAAAAGTATGCGTCAGGTCTCAATCAATTTAGAAGTTTATTTTGCCAAGGTTAAGGACATGCCTGGGAGGAAAAAACAAAACAAAACACAGAATCAAAGAAACAGCCTGTGGTCTGTGCTTTTCTCCAAGGATGATTTCGAGGGCTTCAATATTTAAAGGGAGAAAGAGGCTGCAGGGGAAAGAGTGAGATAGGATATGGAAATCCACAGGTTGCAAGGAAAAAAGAGCAGGTAGGGGAATAGTGAATTATGTATTCGTCTCCTGCTCAGTAAATCGGTACTTTACATACAGTAAGGGGAATATAAAGTAGCTACCTGTGGAAATACTTAACTTTTATCGGTAGGTATCTGCTCAGGAGCAAAAGGAAAGGGAGCTTCTTGCATGACTCAGCTTTCGGCTTAACTTTCCCTTGTGGCAGAGCGAATTGGGATCCCAAGTTTTTATTTTCCTCTCACAGTATTAAGAGGTGGGGCTTTTAGGAGGTGATTAGTTCATGAGGGCAGGGCCCTCATGAATAGGATTAGTGCCTCTATAAAAGGGCTCAAGAGAACTAGCTAGGCCTCCTTTTTGCCCTTCTGCCATGTGAGGACCCAGCAACAAGGCACCATCTTGGAAGCGGGGAGAAGCCTTCACTAGATACCAAACCTACCAGGGCTCTGATCTTGCACTTTCTAGCCTACAAAGCTGTGAGAAATAAATTTCTATTCTTTATAAATGACCCAGTCTAAGGTATTTTGTTACAGCAACAAAAACAGACTAACAGACACACCTACATGGAGCCCATTGGTAGGAAGAACAATAATAGAGTGACCTCCATTTTTTATTCCCATGATGGGGCCCACAAGTATTAGGGGATGGCCTGCCATGATGCTAGGGCAACCAGGATCGTCTTGGGTAAACAGAGACATGTGGTTCCCCTACTTAGAAATGGCAGATAAGGCCGAGCGCAGTGGCTCAAGCCTGCAATCCCAGTTCTTTGGGAGGCTGAGGTGGGCAGATCATGAGGTCAGGAGTTCAAGACCAGCCTGGCCAACATGGCGAAACCCCATCTCTATTAAAGATACAAAAAATTAGCCCGGCGTGATGGTGCACACCTGCAATCCCAGCTACTCAGGAGGCTGAGGCAGGAGAATCGCTTGAACCCAGGAGGTGGAGGTTTCAGTGAGCCAAGATCACGGCACTGCACTCCAGCCCAGGTGGGTGACAGTGCGAGACTCTGTGTCAAAAATAAATAAATAAATAAATAAATAAATAAATAAATGGCAGATAAGGGATACAAATACAGGTCTCTCTGTTAATCACTCCACTATACTGCCTCTGATTCAGGAGCCTCTTAGTGGAACCAACAGGGCTATCACCACAATTTTTAAAACTGGTGGGAGGGCATGGTGTCATTTGAAAATTCAGGACTACTGTGATGAGATGCAGAGTTGGTAGCATGGAAAGACGGGTCCAAAGTCCTGGTTGAATTCGAGTTCTAACTCTGCCACTCAGAAGTGCTGTGATCTTGGCAGGTTACCCTCCTCCTGAAGAGCCTGTTCTGTTTTAAAGTGGGGATCATCATCATAATACCTAGCTCCCAGAGTAGCTCTGCAAATGAGGTGAGATAATGCATGTGCAAGGAGTTCGAGGACTGGGAAGTGACACACACATAAAAGGATTGCTCTCTGTTGACCCTCCTGAGCAGGTCAAGTGCCAGAGTTCAGGTAATCAATGCCTGCAAACACCAGGCTGCTGTTTAATCATCTTTTCATGCTTTAGAATTATTCCTGTGAAGCATTTTTAAAACCCCCAAATCAATCTATTACTAGGTTGAACTAAATGGCCTCAATGACAAAGGAATAGCACTTCGCAATTGTTTTTATTATGGTGAGGGTATTCCAAAGATATTTATAAGTGGCAGGGATTTGGAACTCAATTCCATAGCAGATGGAGAGTCTCCATACATGCAAAAAGCATTCAAGAATCCAGATGGAAAAGGTCACTGGGGATTATGTTTTCCAAATCAGGAAACTGAGGCCCAGGGAGATTAAACCCATGGTTTTCCCTGTGGCACTGAGGTGGAGACAGACCTTGGACTAGAACCTGACTCAGCTGTCTTCTTTAAAACCTCAACTTTCTCATCTGGAAAATGGTGATAATAACACCTGTTGTATAGAACAGTCATGATGATTGATTGAAGCAATGACCGTAAAGCATTCTGTGTCTTCAGCATTCAGCAAATGGCAGCCATTTTTATTATGACCCTCAAGTATGGTCCTTATGTATTTCAGCATCAAAGATTTATTTTATTCATAGTTACCTCTAGACTGCAATCCATGGCATGAGTGACTGATTGAGGTTATGGATTTAACAGAAAAGTGTCAAAGGTTTATTGGTTGGTTGTTGTAAACATGTAAAGAAAGCTGGCTTTACTGCACTGAAGTTTACATCTTCTGTAAAAGGGAGGTCTGAACAGTACCTACCTCATAAGGTGACTGCAAGGGCTCAGAGAGGAAAGCCCTTAGCCCCAAGCCTTGATGCAAGAAGGCACTTGATCAATGGAGCTAGATGACTCTGTTATAAAAAATATTAATGAATTGACAGTCATTTTAAGGTCAAAAATATATGCAAAAGAATCAAAAGAAATTGTCTAGAGAATAACCTAAACTTTATTTTATGACATACACAATTCCATGTACAGTATGTGTGATTCATATGGAAGCTGTCCTCATCAGCTGCAGGAGGCCCCTCTGGAAGTCTTCTGGAAGGCTTGTTGGCTTGCCGGTGGCTGGATTCACAAAGACTTAAACTGAAGAACCAGTGGTACAGGACAGAGCATCAAACTGTGCCAGCAGGGGATGGCCAAAGAAAAAGGCATCACTGAGGTCACGGTGATCTACGGAGGGCAGCTCCTCAGTGGGCTTAGGTGGAAATAGAGCAAGGAGGTAATGCACACTGGAGTGACTAACTTTCTCCACAACCAAGGCAGCCACTGGGATCTAAGGAAACCTGATAGGTGTGTGGTAGATACACCAATTGGCCACCCTGAACCCCAGCATGGAGGATGACTGCAAGCTAGTTTTCAGGCCACAGTACCTAGAAGATTAGATCACAATGCTTATTCTGGGGCACCATGATGCTGTCTCCCAGCCCAAAGGCAGCCTGTTTCAGTAGCAGAGGGCTCTAGCCTCAAAGGACCTTGGTCCAAATCCCAGCTCTGCCACTTAACCAAATTACCTTTGGCAAATTACTTAACTTCCCTGTACCTTTGTTTCTTTTTATTTTATTTATTTTTTATTTTACAGTGCTCTGCATGTTCAGAGAAATCTCTAGTAATGAACTATAGAATGATCCCTTAAAATATAGTCTATCTCAGTCTCTACAACAATCTAACATCATAACCTACCTCATAGGCTGATTGTGAGAATTAAATGACGAGTGTATACCATTTAATATATTAACAGTTCCTAGACAGGGTAAGTTCTTATTAAACATTGGCTATTATTAATACATGCAATTCCTTTTAATGGCAAAAACCACAATGACTTTTGCACCAACCTAATACTTACGTCCCTCTTGTTCTCTTGCTTCTCACAATGAAAAGTCAGGTGCTTTTATGCTAAATGAGAAGGGAAACTCATTTATTAGAGATAAGTTATTGTGTCTCTTATTTCTGCTGCTAGATATTAATCTCAAAGAACAGGGGCTGGGTCTTGTTCACTTTTTAAGTTTGTCTAATAGGAACAAGGTGACACTTGAGATAAAATTTGGAGGCTGAACAGAATCGGAAATAAAAAGCATCGAGACATGTTGTCTTACTGTCTTCTCCTCTTGACAAAAATTAACATTGACTATGAGAGTTCATTGTGAAGGAAGAATTACGGCTTGTATAAAGTTTGACTACAAAGTTATTCATTGATGCATTGTTCATGGAGGGAAAACAGAAACAAGCTACAAGTTTCTGCTCAGGGAGGGCACCCACCAAGAGTGTCATGTGGCCAGCCCCCCTCAGGGTACACCACGGTCACCCATGGTGCCATGAGATACGTCCACCGACTGACGTGGAAAGATGTTCAATGGAAAAGATCAGGTTACAGAACAGCATGTTCTACCCCACGTGATCTCACTCATTATACAAGAACATGTTGGTTTATGTACATATTGCCTAGAAAAAACGTTGAAAAGCTAGGCTGCAAAATGTTTTCAGTAGTTATCTAGCAGTGGAATTGTGGATAATTTTTTTTCTTCTTTTTGCTTACTTGAATCTTCCCAAATGAACATAATTTGCCTTTGAAATAAGAGAACATGTTATTTTTTCAATGGCTGAATGTAATTTTTTTTAAAAGAAGCACTAGAGGGATGAGCAGTGGGATAAATGAGGCTCCTTCTTCCTTCTGCCAACGTCCTGCCCCCACTTCCCTGCTTTAGAAGTCTTCCTCATGAGTACTGTGAGAGTGCTGCTGTAACAAAATACCATAGCCCAGGGGGTGCTTATCAACAACAGAAGTTTATTTCCCGCAGTTCTGGAGACTGGGAAGGTCAAGAACAAGGCGCCAGCAGGTGGGTGTCTGGGGTGTGCCTGCCTCCTGGTTCACAGATGGCTGTCTTTTTACTGAGTGCTCACATGGCAGAAGAAGGTGAGAGAGTTTTCTGGGATCCCTTATAAAGGTGCTATTAGGTTGGTGCGTAAGTAATTGCGGTTTTTGCCATTGCTTTTAATTCACATGGAAGCTGGGCTCATCAGCTCATCATACATTACTTTTAATGGCAAAGACTGCAATTACTTTTGCACCAACCTAATAATTCTACTCATAAAAGCTCTGTCCTCAGAACCTAATCATCTCCCAAAGGACTCACCTCTGAAGATGAGGTTTCAACTATGAATGGGGAGTGGGGACAAACATTTAGTCTAGGGCAGAGGGAAAGGGGAAAGGTGAAAAGAAAAGGCTTGCTTAATTTTCAGCATGACTCCAAGATCCAGTGAAAATCAAAATCACTTGCTTTTATTTCCCTTACCTTTCTTTTCTATTCTCTGCCACTGTTTTCCTCTTGGACAGTAAAGAAATCGTGCCTCTTCCCACTAGGAGAGCAATATTTCATGAGCAGCCTGTTTTCTGTGTGAGCCCAATTATATTTTTAAATAATTGAATTGCATTTAAACAATGCAGTCTACTGAACACCTGGTATGTGTCAGGACGGTGCTAGGTGCTTTACATTTTATACTCAGTTTGCAAAACAACCCTGCAAAGCAGGTCGCAGTTTCTCCATTCTACAGGGAAGAAAATAAAGCAAAGAGGTGGAATAAGTTTCCCAAAGACATGCATGCAGTAACTGGTGGACTTGGACCCAAACTTTGGGCTCTCTTGATGCAAAGTTCTCATTTTCTCCCCCATTCTGGATCTCTAGATGGAGAAAACAAAATCTACATTTCAGTCTAGTGGATGAACTGCATTTTTTTAAGTGGTTCCGGGACTTTGAAACAGTGTCATCGCATTTAGGCAATATGCCCCATGTTTGGAAGTTCATGCCCTGATTTGGTTGGCAGTAACAATAGGCTCCTGAGTGAGAATGTTCCCCCTTGATTCTTTTCTTTTAGGTTTTAATTTTTATTAAAGTTTATATATATGTGTCTACTTTTAAAAATTCAAATAGTTGTTCAAGTCTTATCACACACACATACAAAAAACACTTTTCTGGCTGGTTATACATTTGGTTATAGTCTAGGTCAGTAAGTTCTTAGAATGAGTGAATTCATTCAAAATCTCTATTGCACACCTGCTCTTAGTTAAATGCTGAGGACACATCTTTGGGCAGCCTTTCCTCAGGAGTTCTCAATAAAGGATCTGGGTAGCATCAGCTCCCGTTTTCTCCTCTGGCAAGAAGTAGATGCCAGCTGTGTTACTTTCTGCTTGCAGAGGAAAGAAAAATCGGGCTGCCCCCTTCCACTCTTTGCTTCTTCTTTTTCTCGTCTCCTTTTCTTCCTTTCCTCCACAAACATTTATTGTGCACCTACTACATTCCAAGCATGTGGTGGGCATGGAAGAGACAGCAGTGAACAAGCTAGGTGGTAAAGATCTCTGCCCACATATAGCCTTCGTCTAGACAGGAAGCAATCACTGGATGCGATTATGATGCATTGTGATGAACGCAATGCTGGGAAAAGCACAGGGATTCTGCAGGATCTAGCAGGGGCCTGACTTGGTCTAGGAAGTCCAGGCAGACCTTCTAAGAAGGGACAGCTAAGCTGAGACAGGACGAGCATGTAGGAGCTATCCCAGTGAACAGTAGGGGGAAGAGTCTTCCTGGAAGAGAAATGCGTGTGAGGGCCCAGAGGCCAGAGAGAGACTGTGGCACATCCCAGAGATAACAGAAGTCCCAGATGGCTTCTGTACATATTGCCTAGAAAAAACGTTGAGATCCTTCCCAGGAGCCAGGCTGGGAAGGATCTGTTAAAGAATTTGGATTTTATCCTGGGGCAATGGGAAGTCAATAAATGGGTTGTATGCATGGGAGAGCAAGATCCAGTTTAGTAAAATGGTCTGTTTAGTAAACTAAATGATTATGTTTAGTAAAAAGATCTGTGGCTTCAAATTGAACAGTGGGTTACAATAGAAACAGCAATATCTGCAGGGAGAGCAGTTAGGCCTCTACCACAGTCCTGGCAAAGACAATGGTGGCTTGGACTAGAAGAGATGGAAAAAACTGGATGGATTCAGGCGAGATTTTACAGAAGGTCTGGGGATACACTAGAGTGAAGGAGAGGAAGGAGCCCAGGATGACTTCCGGTCTCAGGCATCTTGCTGATGATTTCATTGGTGGAGGGGAGGCTTGGGGTGAAGATGAGGAGGGAGTCAAGTTGAAGTGAACTTTTGGCTGGGCACAGTGGCTTTGAGCAGAGGGCCAAGCACTTTGGGCAGATGGCTTGAGCCCAGGAGTTCGAGACCAGCCTGGGCAACATGACGAGATCTGTCTCTACAAAAAAAAAACAACCAGAAATTAGCTGGGTAGTCCCAGTTACTTGGGAGGCTGAGGTGGGAGGATCAATTGAGCCTGGGAGGTCAAGGAGGCAGTGAGCTGTGATTGTGCCACTGGACTCCAGCCTAGGTGATACAGAGAGACCCTGTCTCAAAAAAAAAAAAAAAAAATGAAGTGACATTTTGAAGAGGCTGAGCTGGGTGCCTGTGAGATTCTAAGAAGAGGTGAGCATCAGGAATAATAATGTCACTAACTCACATTTATTTAGCCCTGTACTATATGTACTACAGGCCAGGCCTTCCTTTAAGCACACAAACTGGATGATCTCACCAGGAGGTAATTGGATAGATGGGCCTGAAGATCAGAAGAGAGGTTTGGGCTGGAGACGGGAGTTGAGAGACTGAATTAGGTCTAAACTCAGGGTCCGGACAGGCAATGTAAAGAGTTGAAGCTGGCTGGGTGTGACCCAGTTGTTGTGGTGGGCCTGTGGTGCACTGGCCAGCAAATACCAGTCTGACACCAGACACCAGACAGATTCAGACTTTAAAAAATACTGGGCAGAGTGAATAAAACTCAGTGTGGCCTGCCCTGTGGGCCTTGTGGTTTGCCTTGTGAGCCTCCAGTTTGTGACTTCTGAGATAGATGGCCATCAAACCATGAGGGAGAAAGACACTGCCCAGGAGAGAAGATAGGAGGGGATGATGAACTTGAGGCCAGAGTTTCAGCCTTCTACACAGAAAATTGGCTCTGAATATAAGTTCCCAGTGGGTTTCCTGGGATATAACAAGTGACTGATAAAGTGTCTGATTCTGATGCTGCCTAATTGTCATAGGAAGCGAATTCTTATCTTCATGCTTTCTTATCCCTGATTTAGTGTACGCTAGAATAAGGGAATGTTAGGGTTGAAAGACAGATGCCTTGGGGATCATCTGGGACAGGGGCTTTCTACACTGACATGGATCAGAATCTCCTAGGGAAACAGGCAAACCTACAGATCCCAGCATCATCCTCCCAGGCCTTCAGAATCAACCCACATGGAGGGGTCCAGGCATCCTTATTTTTACAACCTCCCCAGGTGATTCTGATGTACACACATGAGCATAAGACATTCTTGTCTAGCGCTACCCCCTCAGATAGGGAAACAGCTTAGAGAGATGAAATCAGTTGCTCACAGTCACACAGCCAGAAAGGGGCAGGATTGGGGCCCACCATAGTGATTCACATCTATAATCCCAGCACTTTGGGAGGCCGAGGTGGGAGAGTAGCTTGAGCCCAGGAGTTTGAGACCAGCCTGAGCAACAGGGCGAGACCCCATCTCTACAAAAAAAATTTAAAAATTAGCCTAGCATGTGCCTGTAGTCCCAGCTACTCAGGAGGCTGAAGCAGGAGGATCACTTGAGCCCACGAGTTGAAGGTTGCAGTAAGCTATGATCACCCCACTGAGCTCTAGCCAGGGTGACTGAGCAAGACTCTATCGAAGGAAGGAAAGAAGGAAGGAAGGAAAGAAGGAAGGAAGGAAGGCAGAAAGGAAGGAAGGAAGGAAGGAAGGAAGGAAGGAAGGAAGGAAGGAAGGAAGGAAGAAAGAAAGGAAGGAAGGAAAGGAGGGAGGGAGGGAGGGAAAGAAGAGAGAGAGAAAAAGAAAAAGAGAAAGAAAAAGAGAGAAAGACAGGTGAGGTCTACGCTCTGGATCTCCTGCCAGCCCCTTCAGCTGGGTTCATTAACCTTCCCACCCCCAGACTCAACCCCAGCCCAAACTTGAGGACCAATGAGTCTCCGAGGCAACCATGGCTCAGAATCAGACCAGCAGTGCCCATGATCCCAGCCTGACTTTGTATCTAGCTCCAACAATGGGACTTGGTCTTATCTTCTCCCCTTTCCCCAAGTTCCCGCCTCCTTCCTTGCATCCATAACTAGGTTCTGCCTGGACCCCTGAGCTGAAGCCCTGCTTTGGTGCCTTCTGAAGCCCTGGGTCCCTCTGGAGCAGGAAGTGTGCACATGAGGGACCCAGTGCTCCTGGGTCTGTGTGAGGACACAGTCCTGCCTCCTCCTGAGGTCAGGAGAGAAAGTGCCTGTCAGGTTGTAGGAAGCCAGTGGGCAGATGGCACAGGTATGCCTTTCAGAGGGGTGAGGCTATTTTTGTCACTCACTATAAATAGCATAGAAAGGGCCATGGCTTGTGGTCAGTTACCTGGAATATCAGGGCAGGATTCTGGCAGGAAGTCCACTCCCACACTCCCCTCAAATCAGAATAAACACGGGCTTGGCCACATGAACCTGAGACTGTGCAGAGTCCTCAAGGAGCATCGCACGGGCAGCTGAAGGGCAATTCAGGCCTTGGGACCCCACACAAAGAAGCCTCTGACTGTGTGGTGGTAGCAGATTATGTGGTTACAAGGATAAATACCCACATTAAGAAATAGAGGCTGGGTATGGTGGCTCATGCCTGTAATCCCAGCGCTTTGAGAGGCTGAGGTGGGAGGATCACTTGAGCCCAGGAGTTCAAGGCTGCAGTGAGTCATGATTGTGTCACTGCACTCAAGCCTGGATGACACAATGAAACATTGTCTCTAAAAAAAGTTCTTTAAAGAAAAAAAATAAAAAGAAATAGAAAATACCTTAAATGGGAACACGTATAAATTTAAAAGATTAAGATGAAACTAGCACTTAAGAATGTACTCTGTGTATCTTTATGAAAATAATTTATCTTCAATCAAGCCTATTTTAATATTGTCATCACAGAATTATTCAGGTATATAGGGCCCAGGAAGACTAATAGAAATAAATGACATACCAACCATTTCTATTACTGTCATCATGCAGTACAGAATACTGTCTAAAAGCTTAATTAAGGTCATTAGATCTGAATTTGATTCATGGCCCTGCTGCTGTGTGATCTCAATAAGTCACTCAATGTCCCAGAGCCTCAGTTTTTCTTATCTCTTTTTTTTTTCCTTTTTTCTTTTCTTTTTTCTTTTCTTTTTTGAGACGGAGTTTTGCTCTTTTGCCCAGGCTGGAGTAAAGTTGCGCAATCTCAGCTCACTCTAACCTCCACCCCTTGGGTTCAAGCGATTCTCCTGCCTGAGCCTCCCAAGTAGCTGGGATTACAGGTGCCTGCCACCACGCCTGGCTAATCTTTGTATTTTTAGTAGAGATGAGGTTTCGCCATGTTGGCCAGGCTGGTCTTGAACTCCTGACCTCAGGTGATCCACCTGCCTTAGCCTCCCAAAGTGCTAGGATTACAAGCTTGAGCCACCGTGCTCGGCCAGTTTTTCTTATCTGTAAAATGGAAATAATAACACAGACTTGATTGGATTTTTGTGGCAATGAAATAAGACAATGCATATTTTTTATGTCCTGGCTAATTTCTGGACCCTAAAGATTTTTGTGGTTATTGTTGTCGTTTGCTTGTTTTTCAAAATTTGCAAATGGTTTTGGTCTCTATGGGTGGAGACCTACATTTACCTTTGGGCCAGACTTTTCCCTTATTTAAGAAGACTGCTTATATCAGGACCCTGGTAACCACCTAGGGTGTGGATAGTGGTGATTGTCAATGAAGGCCACTGTGTTATTCCTTCAGGTGGTGTCCAGTGTCACAGACATCAAAACCAGGGAGCCGGGCAAGAGGGAAAGACCCAGAGGGATGAGAGGTGGCAACTGTTACACTGTAGAAACCTCCAGGAAAAGCTGAGGGATGCTTCAAAGGGGAGAGAGGACCTGTTCAGCCATTGAGCCAGAGGAAGATTAAGCCAATGAAATTTGCATAGTAAATATTATAGAACGTAACTAATTTTTACTGCATTGTCATAACAGGAATTTACTCAAGAGGTACAACAGAAATCTTGCTTGGTCTCTTGGTGGCAATGATTCAAGCATAATCAATTAGTGGAGCTAAGATCTCCTCAACTCCTCAACAGAAACTGGTAAATCAATCTAGACTTCGACTTAAATTTTACCATTTTAACTGATGTAGTTTGGATGTCTGTCCCCTCCAAATATCACGCTGAAATGTGACCCCCAAAGTTGGAGACTGGGCTTAATGGGAGGTGTCTGGGTCATGAGGCGGATCCCTCATGAATTTCCCACAGTAATGAGTGAGTTCTCAGTCTATTAGTTCACACGAAAGCTGGTTGTTTAAAGAGCCTGGCACCTCTTGCTCTATCTTCTTGCTCCCTCTCTTGCCATGTGATGCCTGCTTCCCCTTCACCTTCCACCATGAATGAAAGTTTCCTGAGATCCTCACCAGAAGCAGATGCTGGCACCATGCTTCTTGTACAGCCTGCAAAACCATGAGCCAAATAAACCTCTTTTATTTAAAAAATTACCCAGTCTCAGGTATTCCTTTAGAGCAATGCAAAATGGACTAATACATTAACATTATCCTTGGGTTTGGTGCTGGTGATACCACCATGATAAAAGGTTCTCTTCTCTTGACCCTACACTAATCAAAGAGAGACAATATTGAATACTCCATCACAAATTAAATGTGAGTGTTCTGCAGGAAGTTTATATACATTTGGCTCTCCGTATCTGCCATTTCTGCATCTTCAGATTCAACCAACTTCAAATAGAATATATCCAGGAAAAAAAAAAGAAGAAAAAAATTAAAATAATAAAAATTTTTAAAAACAGTATAATTATTTTTGTAGCATTTACATTATATTAGGTATGATAAGTAACCTAGGGATGATTTAAAATACACACGAGGATCTGCATAGGTTATATGCAAATACTGTGGCATTTTATATCAGGCACTTGAGCGCCCTTGGATTTTGGTGTCCACAGGGCATCCTGGAACCAATCCGCTGCTGAAACTGAGGGACAACTGTATATGGTTGTATGAAATGCAATAACAAAAGAGCCTAACCTAGACAGAGGTAGGTGGGAGCAAAGAGCTTCTGAGAAACCGAAACCAGTGAGGCCCTGTGGCTAGACCACAGGACTGGAAGGGAGCAAGATAGCAGATGAGGCAGGAGCAGGTGGCTGGGCCAAATCACATAGGAACTGGATTTTATCCTAAGACAGCGGGAAGCTATTCTGTTCTGGGGAGGGAGTGGCATGACCATCTTTTTATTTCAAGATCAGCACTCTAGGAAATGGATTAGTGAAGTCATATGTAGGGGCAGAGACACCTGTTAGGAGACTATTGAAATATTGAGAACTGAGCTGAGTGGCAACAATGGAAATGAAAGTTGTGGCTTCCAGAGATATTCAGGGAAGGGCTTAAAGGACAGATACCTGGACCTTTCCTGGCTTACTGGCTTCCAGCTCTCACCAAGGTCAGTATTTGGTAGCAATGGCACCTATAGCAAAACCAGGTGCCTCCACCAACTCCTTCCAGGCTTTGAGGTTATTGATGAAACTTAGGGTTCTTCACCATAAAGAAACACCATACTCCCTGGGTAGATTTCTGCCTCAGTTACCTATTATTCTGCATGGCTATACCTGTGAACTGGTCCCATTTTCTATTTACGTATAACTTTAGGTCTAGGTTTTTCAAGTACTTCCAAACCTAGAGGAGATGACCCCATAGATAAATAAATTTATTTGAAACATATAAACTGTTTTGCTTCCAAAAATATTGGAGGTAAGACAAAAATGGGAAGGAATGTTTTCTGACAATCTCATATTTTGAAGAACCATGACCTGGAGAATACTGAGTTTTTCCTTTGTTTAGCTTTATGTTGCTTCTTAGTATATTTGGCTTTATTTTAAAGGACAAATGCTGTAGGTAATAAGAAAAATTTCTCAGAACTCAACTCTAGCAAGATGCGAGGTTGAGCAAATATCAAAATAAGCCTTTACCCCATGCTATGTTTATCTTGCCACTTGGCAATATACTAATATTAAAAATGATATTTCCAAACAAAGTTGCCTAGCTCTAAATCTAAGAAGCAAATATAACGAGCTGGCAAGAGTTCAAATTAGGAAAAAGCCTAGACCCACTTGGCTGCAGATCACTGCTACTTCACATTTCAATGTGCATGCATTGGGCTCCCAAAGTGAGGAAAATAAAAATAATGAAAATCATCTACTGTCAGAGAGAACAATTTCTTTGCCACAGTGTTCTCACAGGAAGTTCATTGTGGTAAATGAGTGTCAAAATGACAAGAAAATCCAACATGTCTCAAGAAGCACAATATATAACAAGCAAAAAATTCTAAATCAGTGTTCAGAAATTGAATGTTAAAGGAACTAATGAAAAATTCAAGACAAAAAAAATGATGGATGTGAAACAAATGCATTAAAACATTTTGAGTAAAAATAAGAAGACCGTGACATTATGCTCAATTAACAGGAAAATACAATCTTAAAGGGTAAATGTGGTAGATAATGATCTGCTTTTTCAGACATCAAGAAGTGGAATCAACCATTAAAGATGGCTCTGAAAGAGAGACTAGATTAGATAAAAATTGAATCTACACACTAATGATATCACAACTGTTGTGCTTTTTGCCTTTGCTAGATTTGCCCACTCAGCAACAGATTTCTAAGAAAGCATCTCTGAAACATGATTACTGGATAGTTCAAGCCTCAAAATTAAGCAGATTAGGGATACAGTAATCATTCCTGGGCACCTGTTGTGAATCAGTGAGAATGGAAGCTCAGAAGAGTGTGGTGATGCTTCCCACACCCACAGCACTCAACGAAGTCCCCAATGTCCAGCATCTTGCAATTCGTTATGGACAAGTCTAGGAGAATGTGCGCAGCAGTAATGTAAAACTCTATTTCAAATCACCAGTGTCAGAAAATACTTAAAATCCCTGGAGAACAATTTAGAATATCAAATATGCTAGAAATAACTCTCTGAAGAAAGCAAAATTGGAGGAAACAGAGGATGGAACATGAAGAGTTTTTCTTTCTTGAAATCACCACGGTGTGATTTGGGAAGTTGAAAGAACTTGAATCTCTGCCTCAGAAAGAGGTTACTAAATAAGGCAGGTACTCCAGCTAAGAGGATCCCAACATCAGTCCAAGCATTTGGGTGGCTTTAAAGCTTGTTTATCATTTGTTTCTTCATGTTTTTTAAATAATTAACTTTTTTTACACAATTAATGCATGCACACTGTAGAAAGGTAGAACGTATAGGTAAAAAGAAGAAAATTTAAGTCACCCTTTATTCCGTAAGTCAGAAATAACCAGAATTAACATTTTGGTATATACATCTTTCCAGACTTTTTTAGGAGAGGAGATTTTTGTTTTGTTCTAATGAAACCAAGATCATACTGAAACTTGCTTTCTTTGATCAATTACATATCATGAATTCGTTTCCATGCCAGTAAATATATTTCTTATCATGACTGCTGAATATGCCCTTGTATGGGCAGAGCGTCATTTATTTAATGAATCCAAAGGTGATTTTTTTAAATGATTTTATTTTTATTTGTGTTTTTTGTTTTTTGTTGAGAAAAGTTCTCACTCTGTCACCCAGGCTGGAATGCGGTGGTGCGATCATGTCTCACTGAAGCCTCAACCTTCTGGGCTCAGGTGATCCTCCCACCTCAGCCTCCTGAGTAGCTGGGACCACAGGCACACACCATCATGCCCAGCTAATTCTTATATTTTTTGTAGAGATGGGTTTTTTCCATGTTGTCCAGGCTGGTCTCAAACCCCTGGCTCAAGCAATCCGTCCACCTTGGCCTCCCAAAGTTCTGGGATTACAGGTGTGAGCCACCATGTCCAGCCTGATTCTATTTTAAAATACTTTCAAACTGACAGAAAGGCTTGCAAGAACGGTACAGTGGACTCCTGGGTATCTTCTATATAGAGTCATCCATTTTAAACATTTTGCCACATGTGCTTTATGATTAACTTTGATTATTTCTGAACTATTTGAGAGTAGGTTGTGCATGTCATGCCACTTTCTCCTAAATATTTCAGTGTGTATTTCAAAGAGTAAGGACAGTTCCATAGTCACACTACTGAATGATTTCTAAGAGCCATTTCTGCACCAAACTGCTGTAATTCTTCATAATAATAGTCATCCCTTTCCTGGTATCATGTTTAGATCTTCAAACAACTCTTGGTTCTACTCTGAGCAGGACTCTATGTTGGATGTCAAGGATTAAAAATGAATAAAACAATAGTCCTCCCCTTGAGTCACTTACATTCTATTGTGAGAGACACAAGTAGGTACTTATAATGCAATGTGGTAAAGGCAGCGTGGTGCTGTGGGCATGGAGGAAGGTCCATAGAATGTTGGGAACACAGAGAAGTAGCAAATCTCATAGTTGGAGTCAAGATTGATAGAGGTGAACAATGGCATGGGTGTGTGCTTGTGCATGCATGCGTGTGTGTGTGTGTGAGCGTGTGTGTGTGCATGCGTGCATGCGTACCTGCTCAGGGAGTGTGGAGGGAGTGTGTTTTGGCAGGTAAAATGCCAGGCTGAGAGCAGTGAGAGATGAGGCTTGAGGTGAGGCAGAGCTACAGCATGAATGGCCTGGACACAAGATCTACAGCTTGGACTTGACCCTGCAGATGATACAGGGTAAGCTGAAGAGAATATGACCAATAAGGTTTGATGGGTCACCCTGGGGTCAGCAGAGAGGTTAGGTCTGAAGACAACAAGACCCTGGAAGCAGCAAATAAGTTAGTAGGATTTTGCAACAGTATAGGTGAGAGAAGAGTCTGCTCTGAACCAGGACAGTAGGGGTAGAAGCAGTGAGGAGACAAAAGATCCAAGACATCTCTAAGAGGTGCCTGAGTGTGGGGGTGATGGGAAGGGAGGAATTGACTCCCAAGTTCCCAACTGTTCAGAGAAAAAAAATCATAAATGATATTACTTATCTCAAATTGATCTTTGTAACTACCCTGTCAGATAAATAGAGCCAATAGCTATTATCCCTATTTTACAGATTTTTAAATTGAGATATTCAGAAAGTCAAAGTGACTTGTCAAAGGTCACACAATTAGTCAATGGCACAACAGAGATATCAAGTTCATCCTAGTATGAGTACTAATGGATGATACAAAACTATTCAAAATGCCACAACTAGAGAATCACATTTAAAAAATGAAATTGAATCCATACCTCACATCGCATGTAAAAGTAACTCAAAATGGATCATACATCAATATTTAAGAGCTCAAACTTTAAAAACGTATGGAAGAAAATATAGGAGAAAATCTTTGTTGCTTTGGGTTTAGCAAACATTCTTAAATAGGACACACAATAGTACAAGCTATAAAGGTAAAAATCAACACATTAGACACCACCAAAATTAACACCATTTTCTCTTTGCTATAGTCTGAATGAATATCTATGTCCCCCCAAATGTATATGTTGAATCCCAATTACCAAGGTGATAGCATTAGAAGGTGGGCCTTTGGGAAGTCATTAGGTCATGAGGGTGGAGCTCTCATGAGTGGGGGTTAGTGCCCTTATGAAAATGGCCCTCCTCACATAATCCTTTGGATGAAAAAGAAAAAGAAAAAAAGAGCCCAGAGAGCTGCCTTGCCCCTTTTGCCCTCTGAGGATGCAGCAAGAAGATGCCATCTATGAAGCACAGAGAGAGCCCTCACCAGACACCAAATCTCCCGGCACCTTGATTTTGGACTTCCCAGACTCCAGAAATGTCTGTTGTTTTTAAATTACCCAATCTAAGGCATTTTGTTATGGCATCCCAAATAGACAAAGACACTCTTCAAAACCTACTATTTCAAAAATGAAAAGATAAGCAACACACTGAGAGAAAATAGTAGCCAAACATATCTGACAAAACACCGGGATCTAGAATATATAAAGTATACTCACAACTCAATAATAAGACATACAGTATAATTTTAAAATGTGCAAAAGACTTGAATAGGTATTTCATCAAAGAATACATACGGATGGCAATAAGAACATAAAAGAGTGTTCAATGTCATTAGTCATTAAGGATATGCAAATTAAAACCACAATGAGATACCCATTGTACATCCACTAGAACATCTAAAATTAAGAAGGTAGACAAGATGACTGACTAGATAGAGCCAGGAAGAGCTTCTCCTCCTGAGAGAGATCAGAATATCAAGCAGACAAGCATACTCTGAACAGATCTTCTGAGAGGAAGCACTGAGAGCAGATGAAGAAATGATGGAGACAATGGGGCTGAAGCGGGAGGAAGCTGAGAACCCTTGCAGGGTTGCTGAGTGCTGGGGCTTGTTCCTGGCACTAAATGGCTCCCAAGGAAACAGTAAGTGAAATAACTGCAGGGCAGCCCACTCTCACCACAGACCTGCAGGGTCCTAGCTACAGTAGATCCCACATCATCATGGACATTTAAGTTGGCATGGGGGTTGCCTGCAGAGTTGGCAGAAACAGATCCTGAGTCTCTTTGGAGCCCAGCGAGTTTGGCATGGGGACAGAGGCAAAGGAACACAGCCAGAGATGCCCATCCCCCAAGGCTCTCCTTATTCCTTTAAGTGCCTCTGACCTTTGTTATTTGTTGGACCTGAAGACAGCAAGGCCATCTTTCCCACAGGACTGGGGCGAGTCTGATCTGTGCACTCCCTATCCACCAGCCCCTCCCAGGGTCCCTGCCTGGGAGCCCCTCCCATGGGAGCAGGCACACAGCACAGCCTCCACTGCTCTGCCAGAGCACTTTCACTGGCTCCCCACACGGCCCTGCTGGAACACTTTCACCAGCAGCCCCTGCCACCCCAATGGGGCACTTTTGCCACTACCCCCAGTGGAGCAATTTTGCTAGCAGCTTGGGAGAACCTTGTCTCCCCCAACCCCCCCAAACTCAGCCAGTGCTCAACTTTGAGAAGCGAGAAGACAAAGCTGTGGGCCTGGTCCCAGCCCTGCTGGGTTAGAGCACATAGCCCAGGAGTGCCAAGCTGAGCCTTGGTCCTCTGAAAGCATCCAGAAATGAAGCCAATCAACTATACCCAACTTATTCCACAGTCAAACCTTCCAGGTAAATAACATATAAATGAAAAGCCCTCTCCAAAGGAAAGCAACTTCAAAGGATAAAGGAACACCAGCTCTCACAGATGAGAAAGAACCAGCACAAGAACTCTGGCAACTTTAAAAGCCAGAGTGTCTTTTTACCTCCAAATGACCAGGCTAGCTTCCAGGAATGATTTTTAAACAGATTGAAAAGGCTGAAATGACAAACACAGAATTTAGAATTTGGATGGCAAGGAAGCTCAATGAAACACAGGAGAAGGTTAAACCTCGTTCCAAGAAAACAGCAAAATGATCCAATCATTGAAAGATGGCATAGCCACCTTAAGAAAGAACCAAACTGAATTTCTAGAATTGAAAAATTCACCACAAGAATTTCATAATACAAATGGAAGTATTAACAACAGAATAGATCAAGCTGAGGGAAGAATCTCAGAACTTGAAGACTCCTCCTTTGAGTCAATGTAAGCAGACAAAAATAAAGAAAAAAAGCATTTTTAAAAAGGAACAAAAACCTCTAAGAAACATGGGACTATGTAGAGACCAAACCTACTGACATTTCTCAAAGAGAAGGAGAAAGAGTAAGCAACTTAGAAAGCATATTTGAGGATATAGTCCACAAAATTTCCCCAATCTTGCTAAAGAGGTTAACACGTAAATTTAAGGAATTCACAGAACTCCTGCAAGACACTATGCAAGACAACCATTCCCAAGACACATGATCATCAGATTCTCCAAAATAATATAAAAGAAAAAAATTAAAGGCAGCTAGACAGAAAGGGCAGGTCACTTGCAAAGGGAACCCCATCAGGCTAACAGTGGACCTTTCAGCAGAAATCTTACAAGCCAGATGAGATTGGGGGCATATTTTCAGCATTCTTAAAGAAAATAAATTCCAACTAAAAATTTCTTATCCTGCCAAACTAAGCTTCATAAGCAAAGGAAAAAATAAAATCCTTTTCAGACAAGCAAATGCTAAGGGAATTTGTTACCACTAGACCTGCCAGAGGTCCTTAAAGGAATGCTAAGTATGGAAATGAAAGAAAGATACCTGTCACCATAAAAAAACACACTTAAGTACATAGCCACCAGCACTATAAAGCAACTACACGATCACATCTAAACAACAACCAGCTAACAACATGATGACAGGATCAAATCCTCACATATCAATATTAATTGAATGCAAATGGGCTAAATACCTCACTTAAAAGGCATAGAGTGGCAAGGTGGATAAAGAAGCAAGACCCAACTGTTTGCTGTCTTCAGGATATCCATCTCACACGTAATGGCTCAAAGTAAAGGGATGGAGAAAGATCTATCATGCAAATGACAAACAAAAAAGAGCAGGAGTTGCTATTCTTGTGTCATATAAAACAGAATTTAAATCAATAATTATCAAAAAGGACAAAGAAGGGCATTATACAATGATAAAGGGTTCAATTTAACAAAAAGACTTAACTATCCTAAATATATATGCACGCAATATTGGGGCACCTAGACTAATAAAACAAGTTCTTAGAGACCCAAGAAGAGACTTAGATAACCACACAATAATAGTGGGAGACTTCAACACCCCACTGACAGTGCTAGACAAATCATCAAAGCTGAAAGCTAATAAAGATATTCTGGACTTAAACTTGACACTTGACCAATTGGACCTAATAGACATCTACAGAATACTCCATCCAACAACAGAATATACATTCTTCTCATGTGTAAACAGCACTTACTCTAAGACTGACCACATGTTCAGCTATAAAGCTAGTCTCAACAAATTCAAAAAAAATGAAATCACACCAATCACACTCTCAGACCACAGTACAATAAAAATATAAATCAATACCAAGAAGACCTCTCAAAACTATACAATTACATAGAAATTAAACAACTTGCTCCTGAATGAGTTTTGGGTAAAGAATGAAATTAAGGCAGAAATCAAAAAATTCTTTAAAACTAATGAAAACAGAGACACAACACACCAGAATTTTTGGGACACAGCTAAAGCAATGTTAAGAGGAAAGTTTATAGTGCTAAACACCTACATCAAGAATTCAGAAAGATCTTAAATTAACAACCTAACATTGCATCTGGAAGAACTAGAAAAACAAAAGCCAACCAATCCCAAAGTTATCAGAAAAAAGAAATAATAAAAATCAGAGCAAAACTGAAAGAAATTGAGATGTGATATTCCATACAAAAAAGGTCAATGACACCAAAAGATAGTTCTTTGAAAGAATAAACAAGATTGATAGAACATTAGCTAGATTAACAAAGGAAAAAAGAGAGAAGATCCAAATAAGCACAATCAGAAATGACAAAGGTGACGTTACAACTGACCCCACAGAAATACAAAAAGTCCTCTGAGACTATTATGAACACCTTTATGCACACAAACTAGAAAACCTAGAAGAAACTGATACATTCCTGGAAACACACAACCTCCCAAAATTGAAGCAAGAAACTGAAACCCTGAACAGACCAATAACGAGTTCCAAAATTGAATCAGTAATAAACAAACCTACCAACCAACAAAAGCCCTGGACCAGATGGATTCACAGCAAAATTCTACCAGGCATGTAAGAAGAGCTAGTACCAATGCTACTGAAATTATTCCAAAAAATCAAGCAGGAAGGACTCCTTCTGATCTCATTCTATGAAGCCAGCATCATTCTAATACCAAAACCTGGCAGAAATACAATACAAAAGAAAACTTTGGGCCAATATCCCTGATGAACATAGATGTGAAAATCCTCAGCAAAATACTAGCAAACTGAATCCAGCAGCATATCACTAAGTTAATTCGCTATAATCAAGTAGGCTTTATTCCTGGGATGCAAGGTTGTTTCAATATATGCAAATCAATAAATGTGATTCACCACATAAACAAAATTAAAAACAAAAACTATATGATCATCTCAATAGACACAGAAAAAGCTTTCGATAAAATTTAACATCCCTCATGTTAAAAATCCTCAATGAATTAGGCATCAAAGGAACACACCTCAAAATAATAAGAGCCATCTATGACAAATCTCCAGCCAACATCATACTGAACAAGCAAAAGCCAAAAGCATTCCCCTTGAGAACCAGAACAAGACAAGGATGCCTATTCTTACCACTCCTAATCAACATAGTACTGGAAGTCCCAGCCAGAGCAATCAAGCAAGAGAAAGAAATAAAAAGCATCCAAATAGGAAGAGAGGAAGTGAAATTATCTCTCTTCATAGATGATATGACACTATACCTAGAAAGCCTTAAAGACTCTGCCAAAAGGCTCCTAGAACTTCAGTAAAGTTTCACGATACAAAATCAATGTACAAAAATTAATAGCATTTCTATACGCCAATAATGTTCAAACTAAGAGCCAAATCAAGAATGCAATCCAATTTATAACAGCCACAAAAAGAATAAGACACCTTGGACTATAGCTAACCAAGGAGGCGAAAGATCTCTACAATGAGAATTACAAAACACTGCTGAAAGAAATCAGAGATGACTCTAACAAATGGAAAAACACTGCATCCTTATGGATAGGAAGAATCAATATTGTTAAGATGGTCATAGCAATTTACAGATTGAATGGTATTCCTGTCAAACTACTAACATCATTTTTCACAGAATTAGAAAAAAACTATTCTAAAATTAATATAGAACCAATAAAAAGAGCCTGAATAGTAAGACAATCCTAAGCAACAACAACAAAAAGATAAAGTCAGTGGCATCACACTACCAAAACAGCATGGTATTGGCATAAAAACAGGCACATAGGCCAATGGAACAGGATAGAGAGCCCAGAAATAAAGCCACATGCCTACAACAAAGTTGACAAAAACAAGCAAAGGGGAAAGGACTCCCTATTCAATAAAAGGTGCTGGGATAACAAGGCAGCCATATGCAGAAGATTGAAACTAGACCCGTACCTTTCGCCATATACAAAAAACAAACTCAAGATGGGTTCAAGACTTAAATGTAAGATCTAAAACTATTAAAATACTAGAAGAAAACCTAGGAAACACCATGCTGAACATTGGCCATTGCAAATAATTGATGACTAAGTCCTCAAAAGCAATTGCAACAAAACAAAAAATTGACAAGTGGGACATCATTAAACTAAAAAGCTTCTGCACAGCAGAAACTATTAACAGAGTAATCAGACAACCTATTACCCTGTATAAAAATGACCAAACCACATGAATAGACACTTCTCAAAAGAAGACATACATACAGTGAACAAACATATGAAAAAATGCTCAACGTCACTAATCATCAGGGAAATGCCAATCGAAACCACAATGAGATACCATCTCACACTGGTCAGAATGGCTATTATTAAAAAGTCAGGTTCTGCAAGGTTCAGTCATCTTTTTTACACTGGAGAACCACAGGTCAAGAGTCATCTCTTCAAGCAGAGTTTGAGGGAGCTGCGTCAGGCCAATGGAGTCTTTATTTATTAATACTTGCATGAAAATAACAGATGTTGGAGAGGTTGCAGAGAAAAGGAAAGGTTTATACATTGTTGGTGGGAATATAAATTAGTTCAGCCACTGTGGAAAGCAGTTTGGAGATTTCTCAAAGGACTTAAAGCAGAACTACCATTTGACCCAGCAAGCCCACTACTGGATATATATTCAAAAGCAAATAAATCATCCTGCCACAAACACACATGTACTCATATATTCATCCCAGCACTATTCACAATACCAAAGACATGGAATTATCCTAGATGCCCATCAACAATAGACTGAATAAAGAAAATGTGATATATATATATATATATATATATATATATATATATATATATATATATATATATATACACACACTGTGGAATAGTATGCAGCCATAAAAAGAATGAAATCATGTCCTTTAAAGCCACATGGATGCAGCTAGAGGCCATTATCCTAAGCAAGTTAATGCAGGAACAGAGAACCAAATACCACAAGTTCTTACTTATACATGGGAACTAAGCATTCAATACCCAAGGACATGGAGATGAAAACAATAGACACTGGGGACTATTGGGGGACATCTTGGGGTGGGGGGCAGTGAGGGTTGTAAAACTATCGTGTACTGTGTGTGCTACCTGGGTGATGGGATCATTTGCATACCAAACCCCAGTGACATGAAATTTACCCACATAACAAACCTGCACATGTACCCACTGAACCTAAAAAAAAGTCGAAAAAAAAAGTAGAACTGGAAATGAAGCTCAAAAAAAATTTTTAAGAAGGTGGAGTGTAGCAAGTATTGACAAGGATGCTAATATGATTTGGCTGTCTCCCCACCCAAATCTCATCTTGAATTGTAGCTCCCATAATTCCCACGTGTCATGGGAGAGACCTAGTGGGAGATAACTGAATCATGGGAGCAGGTCTTTCCCATGCTGTTCTCGTGATAGTGAATAAGTCTCATGAGATCTGATGGTTTTATAAAGGGGAGTTCTGCTGCAAACATTCTCTTGCCTGCTGCCACATAAGATGTCTCTTTGCTCTTCCTTCATCTTCCACCATGATTGTGAAGCCTCCCCAGCCGTGTGGAACTGTGACTCCATTGAACTTCTTTCCTTTATAATTACCCAGTCTCAGGTATGTCTTTCTTTATTAGCAGCATAAGAATGGTCTAATACAGATGTGGAGGATTAGAACGCTCATATACTGCTGATGAGAATGTAAAATTACACAACTGCTTGGGAAACTACTTTGGTAGTTTCCTAAAAAAGTAAAAAATACATTTACCATATGACCCAGCCATTCTACTCATTGTTATTCATCCAAGAGAAATGAAAGCATATGTCTACAAAACGGCCTGTACAGGAGTATTCACAGTAGCTTTTTTCGTTATTTGTTTATTTTTATTTCAATAGTTTTGGGGGTACAAGTGGTTTTTGTTGCATGGATAAGTTCTTTAGTGGTGATTTCTGAGATTTTAGTGCATCCATCACCTGAGCAGTGTACACTGCACCCAATATGTAGTTTTGTATCCATCACCTCCCTCCCAAACTTCTCCTCTGAGTCCTCAAAGTCTATTATGTCATTCTTATGCTTTTGTGTCCTCATAGCTTAGCTCCCACTTATAAGTGAGAACATATGATATTTGGTTTTCTATTCCTGAGTTACTTCACTTAGAATAATGTCCTCTAGCTCCATCCAAGTTGCTGCAGAAGACATTATTTCATTCCCTTTTATGACTGAGTAGTATTCCATGGTGTATACACACCACATTTTCTTTATGCACTCAGTTGATGGGCATTTAGGTTGGATCCATATCTTTGCAATTGTGGATTCTGTTGCTATAAACATGCATGTTCATGTGTCTTTTTCATATAATGACTTCTTTTCTTCTGGGTAGATACTCAGTAGTGAAATTGCTGGATCGAATGGTACTTTCATTTTTATTCCCCAAGGAATCTCTATACCGTTTTCCATATTGGTTGTACTAACTTATATTCCCACCAGCAATGTAAAACTGTTACCTTTTGACCACATCCACACCAACATCTATTGTTTTTTGACTTTTTAATTATGGCCGTTCTTGTAGGAGTAAGGTGGTATTTCATTGTGATTTTAATTTACAGTAGGTTTTTTTTTTTGTAATATCTGGAAACAACCAAATGTTGGTCTACAGGCTCATAAACAAACTGTGGCATATCCATACAATAGAATACTACTCATCAATAAAAAGGAATGAACACACAACAGCACGTAAAATTTCAGAATAATTATGCTGAGTAAAAAAGCTGGATCAAAAAAAAAAAGAAAAGAATGCATAATGTATGGTTCTAATTATATAAATTTCTAGAAGAGTCAAACTAATCTCTAGTGAAAGAAAGCAGATGCATGGTTACCTGGGGGTAGAGCAGAAGGGAGGGATTACAAAGGGGGCACCAGGAAACTTGGGGGCGATGGTAGTGATATTCATGATCTTGATTGTAGTGATGGTTTCACAAGTTTGTAAATATGCTAAAACTCATCAAATTGCACACTTTAAATATGTGCATCTTATTTTACGTCAGCTATACCTCAGTATAGTTATTTTAAAGAAAGAACAGAATGGAGAAGAATATAGCAATATCTTAGCAAGTAGCAAATATACCAATATCTTAACAAAATTAGTCTCTGTGAGATTATCAATGATGATTCTTTTCTTCTTTATCCTTTTCCAAGTTTCCAAATGAACATGTAATAATACCAAAATCATACAAAGTACTTTTTTGGAGAAAAAACAGAATTAGGTGAAGAGAGAAATTTGAAGAAAATAGTCTGTACTTGTGAATCCTAATACCAGTGGGTGAAAAAAAATCAAAGACATGAAACTTTTCAAATGACAAAGATCCTCTATTCTTTCAAAAGCCATGATAAGCCAGGAGGCACTATGAGAAGGTTTGATAAGTTGCACAGGAACATATATAAATCTAAAGAAGTCTATGGAGAAGTCATCATATTAGCAAAAACGCATCATTTGGTTGAGCTTTCCAGCTCAAATATCCTTCAAATACGTCAGTGAGAGACAATTGCAACAAAAAAAGAAAAAGAAAGAGGCAGTGCTAGGCAGCAAAGGAAGGTGGAATTTTTTCGTTATGTCAGGACCCATCAGTTCTGTAGTTCACCCAGGAATCTAAGGATTAAAGAACAATCCAATATAACTAGAAATTTACTGGCATCATATGTCCTTAAAAAGAATAAATACTGCAAAGAACAAACCAGGCCACAGAAAATGCTGTTCTCCTTCTGACTAAATATGGTCAAGTCTCATGAATCTGGGTTTCCACTCTTGGAAATGTTTGTTAAATCTGTGTGCACTGGGCTGAAGGCTCACTCTGAATTTTTTATTAGTGGTGGAAGTAGTAAGTTTTAAAAAGCTTTCAGAGACATACTTAACCCATTTAGATGATAAAATATTTTTAAAGCTTTCAGTGTATTATTTGGATATCAAATATTGAAAATTATCAAGTAATTTTTATATTCATTTATTCAAGAAAAACTCACTAAGTGCCAGCAATTGTGCCAGGTCCTGGGACACAAAGAAGCAAACACAACCCATGACCTCATGGAGCTCTTAGACTAATGACTGATAAACCTACAAACAGTTGCTATACAAGGTGTCCTTGGCTTGGGAGAGTGAAAAGGAAGTCAGAGAAGCCTGCAAAGAGAAGGTAACACTTGAGCAGAGTCTTGAAGGCTATGTAGGAGTTTTCTGGTTAGGAAAAGAGAGACATTCTAGGCAGAGAGGACAGCATGAGGCAGAGAGGCAGGAGAAAGGGAGATTATTTGGTAAATGGCAAGAGCTTCTGAGAGGATTAAGAATAGGATTCACCTGGTGGGGACAGGCCCTAAAGCAGATGGAAGCTCTTTATCCATGCTGGAGAAGTTCAGGCTTTATCCTAGATAGAATGAGGAGGTGTGTTGGTTACAACTCTGCTTTTAACCAAATAAACTGGCCTAAAAGTGAAAAAGATGACCTTCAGTGTTCAGAGAACTCAAGGGCTTTATATAGTCAGACTTAAAAAGAGGCTGAAATTGGTAACTGGAAAGCTAAAGAAACTCTCCTCCTCTCTCTTTTTTTTTCTTTCTTTTTTTTTTTTTTTTTTTTTTTTTTTAGACAAGGTCTCCCTCTGTTACCCAAACTGGAGTGCAGTGGCGTCATGTCGGCTCACTGCAATCTCCGCCTCCTAGGTTCAAGCGATTCTCCTGCCTCAGCCTCCCGAGTAGCTGGGACTACAGGTGCGCAGCATCACGACCAGCTAATTTTTTGTATTTTTAATTGAGATGGGGTTTTGCCATGTTGGTCAGGCTGGTCTTGAACTCCTGACCTCAAGCAATCCACCTGCCTCAGCCTCCCAAAGTGCTGGGATTACAGGTGTGATCGCCTCAATCTTTTATCTTGGTTTTTTTCCCCCCCCCTCTCCATATCCATTTTCTATTAACCTGTTCTTTTGGTCATAAGTGACAGAAATATAACTCAAAATAGTTTAAGCCAGAAAGGGATTTTTTTTACTCTCAAAGGGAAGTCTAGGCACATGCTATAGCAGGGGTTAACTTTGAGGACATTTCGCTATGTGAAATAAGCTAGTCACGAAATGACAAATATTGTATCACTCTACTTCTGTGAGGTACCTATAGTACATTCATAGAGACAAAAAGTAAAAGGGTGCTTGCCAGGGGCTGGGGCCAAGGAGGAATTGGGAAGTGTGGGAAGATGAAAATATTCCACAGATGGATGGTGGTGACAACTGCACAATAATGTGAAGATACCTAATGCCACAGAACTTTACACTTAAAAATGGTTAAAATAGTAAATGCTTTGTATAGGTTACCACAACTTTTTTTAAGTGAGGTGTCCAGAAGTATAATAAATACAACTCCAGGCACTGTTGGATGCAACAGTTCAAGTGCCTTCATGGGAATCTTGTCACTATTTTGTTCTTCTTTCCTCTTCATTTGCTTCATTTTCAAGAAGAATCTCTTTACGTGGTGGCAAAGATGGCCACCCTCATCTTAAATCATCTATATACCTCATGATTGTCGCCAAAAGAGAGTCTCTTGCCTGACAGTTCCAGCTAAAGCTCTGGGAATGGCTGATTGGCCTGGTGTTGGGTCATAAACCCACTCTTGAACTAATCACTGTAGCCAGAAATCAGAGTACACTGATTGGTCAAGCCTGAGTCATGTGTTCAACCTCAAGCCAATCACTGTAGTCAGGGGAGCAGAGTTCTCTGGCCATGCCTCCCTGATGGGAGTCCACCTGAACCGTGGACTGAGAATGAAAAGGGTGATTTCTCACAGAGATACTGGACAGTCAAAACATGTCCATCACAGCTTCTTCTTTCTTTCTCTATGGACCAGTTTTCTGTGTTTTCAGTCAGTATGGTAGAAGAAATATTGCTATGCCCAGCTCAAGTTTTACTTTCTCTCTATTCAAGAACACTAGAAGTCCCTGGGAGACTCTGACTAGTGAAGCTCATACAACTAACTGTGATGGTGGAGATGAGGATAGTCTTAAAGGTAACACGGTTGCAACAGACTCATCTATGCGAATATAAAGGTAAGTTACAGGGGCCATTAGGAGCAAGGCAGATATCTCAAAAGGTGTCTTTTACAACAGATGATAGACATGCTTTCAGGAAAGTGGTATGAGCACACTGTATGAAAATAGTTCTGGCTGCTAAATATTGGATAGGTTGGAGCAGGAAAATATGACAGCAGGAAGACTAATCATAGGGATGTTGCAAAAAGATGACTCAAATTTCTAGCTTAGGAGGATGAGAATGGTGATGTCATCCACTAAGAATGAGATTATGAAAGGAATGTGTGGTCCGGAGAGGGGTAGGAAGAAAAGGGTGATAAGTTTAGCTTCTGACGTGTTTCCTTCAAGATGCCTGTTGGACATTCAAGTGGAGAATTCTATTAAGCAGTGGAAAATAGAAGCTTAAAACCTGAGAAAGAGAATATGGCTGGGGACAGAGATTTGGCAAAAATTGGTATGTGGATTGATATTGAAGCCATGAAGTGTATGAGATTGCACATAGAGAGCACTGAGTATGGGCAGAAAAGAGAATAGAGGGCAAAACCTGCATTTATGGGGTTATGACAGGAGCCTCAGTACCCTGCCCAATGTGCTCAGCACTCACTGTTTCCAAGCATGCCAATGGCATCCTATTGTAACTCCATCCAAGGGCTTTCTCTCAAGTTGAGCTTGATGCAGGCCAGAAATGCCAGGGTAAACAGCCCTTAGCCAATGTTGATGGGACTCTTGTGGGACAACTCAAATGTGTTCCCCACCATCTCACAGAGGTCCCGGTGGGATCTAGCCGCAGTTGCTCACAGCAGTTACCTCCTCATTACTATACCCTGTACTTGCATCTTTCACTTCCCTGTCTCACTTCTCAATGGCTCCACTGGTGTGCCCTATGATCACCTCCCAGATAGATCACTCACACTCAAATCTTAGTTTCAACATCTGCTTCTGGGAGAACTCAAGAGCGCACAAAGAAGGATGCTCCAGGGAGAATGAGACCAAGAGGTCTGGAGATGGGAGTAAAACCAGGATAAATGATTTCCCTGGAGCAAGGAAAGAGAGAATTAGAGAGGAGCTGGGACTCCATTGAAAGTACTTGAGAAAGGCCGGGCGCGGTGGCTCACGCCTGTAATCCCAGCACTTTGGGAGGCCGAGGCGGGCGGATCACAAGGTCGGGAGACCGAGACCATCCTGGCTAACACGGTGAAACCCCATCTCTACTAAAAAATACAAAAAATTAGCCAGGCATGGTAGTGGGCGCCTGTAGTCCCAGCTACTCGGGAGGCTGAGGCAGGAGAATGGCGTGAACCCGGGAGGCGGAGCTTGCAGTGAGCTGAGATCGCGCCACTGCACTCCAGCCTGGGCAACAGAGCGAGACTCCATCTCAAAAAAAAAAAGAAAAAGAAAATACTTGAGAAGTAAGTCATATACCCTTAAAAGTAATAAAATTCTAAATCTATACATATCCAGTTCCCACAGTTTTTTTTCTAATATGGCAAGGACTTTCCTTGGATATTTCATGTTCAGAAAGACCATTTGTAAGAAAATAAGCCAAAATTATAATCTCCTGAAAAGGAAACCCCAAGGGCCCAGAACAGTGGCCTCTGATGCCTGAAGAGGCAGGGGGCCTGAGAGCAAAGCAGAGCCTTAAGCAGCCCTGTTTGGGATCCCTGTGTGTCCCCCACATGCGAAAGTGTCATGCAGGTGGTAACAAACACTTTGGCTTTGTGGAGGATCGATTCATTGCTGGCCCTGATTAACGACCTCCTATATTCATGCCCCTTGCCTGTAATTTCATTGTCCCCACCCACTATGACTCTGGCCAGGCCTTTGACTTGCTTTGGCCAATCAAATAGAGTGTAAGTGGTGTGCAAATTCCAACTCTAGGCTTCAAGAGGGCTTGCAGTGTTTGTGCTTGCTCTCTTAGATCCTTCTTCTGCCATGAGCTCAAGCCCAGGCTAACCTGTTGCAGTATGAGACCACATAAAACACTGCCAAGTCACCCCAGTTGTCCCAGCCAAGCCCTAGACATGTGAAGGAGTACAACCAAGATCAATAAAGATACCTAACTGACCACAGGTGCAGAGAAAGCCCAGCTCTGACTAAAAGAACTATCTAGTAAAGATAAAAGACTCATGAGCAACATTAATCATTATTGTTTTTGTGAATCTTAGTGAATTTTGAGATGAATTGTTACACAGCAGGAGCTAACTGAAATATAGGCTTCATGCTGAACAATGCTCAGTGAGTTACCTGAGCTGGATGCCTTTTGTGCATCTGGAAGGCAAGGCAAGTTACTTAGGGACAGTATTGGTCCATTCTCACACTGCTGTAAAGGTACTACCTGAGACTGGATAATTTATAAAGGAAAGAGATTTAATTGACTCACAGTTCACCATGGCTGGGGAGGCCTCAGGAAACTTACAATCATGGCGGAAGGCAAAGGGGAAGCAAGGCACCTTCTTCACAAGGCAGTAGGAAGGAGAAGTGCCGACCGAAGTGGGAAGAGCCTCTTATAAAACCATCAGATCTTGTGAGAACTCACTATCACAAGAATAGCATGGAGGAAACCGCCCCCATGATTCAATTACCTCCACCTGTTATCTCCCTTGACACATGGGGATTATGGGGATTACAATTCTTGTGGGGATATAAAGCCTAATCATATCAGGGACCAAGATAATAAAGTTGAGGTAGCTGCCTTGGAATAGTAGAGAGAGGGAAAACAAGCAGCAGACCAGACAGATGCTTATTAAATACCTATGCTGTGCTAGGTGCCTGGCATGTTATTATCTCACTGTCAACTCAAAAACACCCTGTGAGGAAGTATTATTATCTCTCTAACCAGAATGGCTCTGGCAACCAAGCAATGCTCCACTTGAACCAGTGTCTGGGTGGCCACCATTGCCATTCTACCCCAGATAAGAGTGTTCCTTTGCCAGCTGCACCGTGGGTACAGAAGCACTCTGTATTTATCTGAGACCCATTGACTTGGGGGCGGGTCCCCCAGCAAAGCTGATGCATCCAGGGATATTTCAGCTCTTTTAGGTTTACTTAGAGCCCCCTTCCTAGTCAGGCATGCAACTTCCGCCAGAATAACTGGATTGGGTGGATTAAAGCAACAGCTGCCTGGGGACCCTGGCTTATCTCCATCGATTCTCAGACTCTGAATGGAATCAGACACTTGCTCTTCAGGAAGAATTCTCCTTAGAGGGGTCTACTCTGCTTCTTTGCTATTTGCCTGCTGTTGGCCTCTGCCCTTCCCCTTGCCCACCCCATCTCTAACTAAATCACCCTTTGTATATTCAAACCTCAGCATAGAAACAGTTCCAATTTTTCCCCAGGGGCAGGGAGCTGGTGTGTACCAGCTCACGACAGCCAATTGTTATATTCTCAGAACTTTTTATGAGTTGGTTAAAGATGATCATTATTAAAAATTAAATAATATAGATTTACAATTAAAGAAATTATGTTAAAACAAAGTAATACTCAAAACTTATCATCCCTAATTATTTTGTGACATTTTACTATTATCTATGCTCTTTAGCTTATTTACATCTATTGTATCTGTGCAGTGAGAATATTATATTCTGTCAATCTCCTTCTCACTGTGTATTCAGTGACACAGAGTTAGAACTTGAAATTTGCCATAGTGGGACTATGAATACCAAGAAAATCAGCAACCACTGCAAATTTATTGTTTTGATTTATTGATTGAATTTATTATTTTATTGGTTGTAGGTATAGGGAAGGAGGGTAAGCAAACTTCTCCTGTTAAAGGGCCAGGTGGTAAATCTTCTAGGCTTTGTGGGCCATCTGGTCTCTGTCGCAGCCACCCAACTCTGCTCTTGTAGCATGAAAGCAGCCACAGACAATACCTGAAGGAATGGACATGGCTGTGTTCCAATAAACTTTATTTACAAAAATAGGCAGTGGGCCAGATTTGGCCCAAGGGCCATAATTTGTTGATCCCTGAGCTAGACTAAAGACTTAAGAACATATTAAAAATGCATATTAAGTTTAAAAGTGCATCATGTCTGCAGTGTAAACAGCACTAAAAATTAAGAAAGTTTTTTTTAGTATTATTATTATTTTTTGAGACAGGGTCTCACTTCATCACCCAGGTTGGAATGCAGTGGTGCGATCATGGCTCTCTGCAGCCTTGACCTCCCTGCCTCAGGTGATCCTCCCATTTCAGCCTCCCAAATAGCTAGGACTACAGGTGTGCTCCACCACACCCAACTATTTTTTTTTATTTTTTATAGAGATGGGGTTTCACCATGTTACCCAGGCTGGTTTCAAACTTCTGGGCTCAAGCAATCTGCCTGTCTCACCCTCCCAAAGTGCTGGGATCACAGGCGTGAGCCACTGTGCCCAGCCAAAGGAAATATTTTTAAGTATTCAAAAACTATTATTTTTAGCTCACAACATACTTCTTACTCATTAACATGCACACAAAAATATCAACGAACATTCATGCCAGAAGTACAATTGTTTGTTAGTTGCAGCTAAAAGTTGGCTAAGGATAGAAGAATTCAGCCAAAAATCAATAAAGACATTTTGTGAGAACCAACTGGCCGTAAAGAGTTTACAATAAAGAAGATTGTATATTTCATTATAATTTGTAAATTGTGTGCCAAGCATCTTTTTTATCAGTAAAATGCATAATGAACTTATGTATGTACATATATGCTGGTTGTTAAAAACTTTTACTGCATACCTCCAAACAGAAGGCACCTGTTTCTGATGCAACATAACACATGCAAATGGATCCAAGGGGAGGAAGCTGTTGCCAAATATTTCATCCCACACTGCCTGGGAAGCCTAGGACATCTCCATTTTACAGATGAGAAAAGTGAGGCTTATCCAGAGTTGTATAACTAGTTGTTAATAGTACTGAAATCCAAACATAAGTCTATTTGACTCCAAAGTCCATCCCTTGAGGTTGCCTCTTAGAAACCGTGTATTTGGTTCAGAAGAATACAGGGAAACTGTTAATGAGGCTCACTTTGGAAATCAGCAAGAGGAGGCTTGGAGAAATTCCAGAGGAGTCAATACCCAGGTGAAGGCCCCGCAGGCCTAAGGGAAGGGGAAGCTGCATTGGGGGCACACCCACAGGTACAAATTACAGATGTGGATGAGAGCAAACATGCGGGCATGGGGGTGGAGATGTGGGACTTCCTGTGTCAGGGCTGCAACAGTAAGCACATTTCACCTCATCAATGATGGTTTGTACTCATGAAGAAATTGTGAGTGCAAGGATCCATAATCCAATTAAATGGTTTTGTGATAGGAAATGAGGCATGCTTTTCAAGCGGTACGCAGTCAGAGATTAATAGCAGGTGCTGAGCCATGGCTGGGAATGGTGCTAGTTGATCATAAGGTGCACTGCATTTTTGCTAATGTTACAGCTTCGGAGGTGAGGACAGAAGAGAGCATAAGAGGTCCTCAGGGCTCATGCCTACTTTTTGGAAGATCAGTAGTCAGGGACATCACTGTGGCAGTACCACTCTTCCAAGGAGCCTTTTGTGATCTCCAATGGCTGAATGGCTCTGGCTGGAAGGGGTCATCACTGGGACCTGAACCATGCCTCATCTAGGTACCTGACTAGGGGAAGCTGAGTCTCTCTTTTCCAGCCATGCACAACTGTGAGCCAATTAAACCTCTTTTCTTTATAAATTACCCAGTCTTGGGTATTTTACCTACCCCGGGTAATTTACCAGTCTCAGGTAAATTACCCCATCCCTTCTAGTTGCAAGGGATAGAAAGTCAGCTCAAAAGGCTTAAGCAAAAAAAGGGAATCTATTGTCCTGAGTAACTGGGCAGTTGAAGAGTGGCCTCAGGAACTGTAAGGTTTGAAGCAAGTTTCTCAGACGAACACCATCCAGCTTCCTCTTGATCTCTGTTTGTTTCTCTTTGCCCCTGCAGACTCTTCCTTCTGCAGCAAGTAGAAGGCATGACTGAAGCAACTCAAGTCTACATCATCCCAGCTTCGCAATCTCCCAAGAGAACAAGAGCCCCAGTTGGCCAACATCTGAACATAAATTCTCATCAGTCCACCTTCATAAGCAGACGGGGAGGGTCTCCAGGGATAACAGGAATTTAACCAACTTCAGCAATGAGCCTGGTTTACAGCCTCCTGCCCTGCAGCCTGTTCTTCCACAAACCCTGGGTAAAATGCAGTCACCTTGTTGGTTTAAACCAGCTCTTGACAGACCCCCGGCAACATACAGATGAACGCAAGTGAACTTTCTCATGACCACGCTAAAGTCTCCACCCTGGGCAACCTGTAGCTTCATTACCATGACATGCAACCTATGCGCTGACGTAATGACTCACTGCATCTGTGCAACTAGACCTCTCCTCGTCATGCAATGATGCTCCCTGTCTCCTCTCCATTGCGCCATAAAACCCTCCTGTCACTTTCCCTCGGAAAGACACTGCTTTGGAGAATACCCCCAGTGTCACCCTTACTTGAGTTAAATAAAACTCCTATTGATCAAAGACAGTGTTCTTGTGGAGAGTCCTTTGTTATTCATGAGGTGAGTGAACCCTGGTATTTTGGGGGTAACAAATCTGGTACCCCAGGTGGGACTGTGGACCAAGCTCTGACTCAGTCTCCCTTATAGGCTTCCAATCAGGTGAAGCCACAACCTGTGGACACTTGGGCTAACTCACCTAAGTTGCTGAGAGGGAAACTGGAGAAGGGCCTCAGGACACTCCTGTCTGGTGTCTGGTCAACCCACAGGTGCCACAGGACCTCCCAGGGAGAGCAGAGATGGCCACTTGGACCTTTTCATTCAGCGCTTTTTTTTTTTTTTTTTTTTGAGATGGAGTCTTGCTCTGTCACCCAGGCTGGAGTGCAGTGGCGCGATCTCAGCTCACTGCAAGCTCCATCTCCCAGGTTCGCGCCATTCTCCTGCCTCAACTTCCCGAGTAGCTGGGACTACAGGTGCCCGCCACTATGCCCAGCTAATTTTTTTGTACTTTAGTAGAGACAGGGTTTCACCATGTTAGCCAGGATGGTCTCGATCTCCTGACCTCGAGATCCGCCACCTCGGCCTCCCAAAGTGCTGGGATTACAGGTGTGAGCCACCGTGCCCAGCAGTTCAGCGTTCTTTTGCAGCGGTAAGTGGTGGCAGTTTTGTGAACTGACTTAAAAGAGTAATTTCGGTTTTGATCATTAGGACTCTGGGTTGTCAGGGTTAGGACCTAGGTCAAGGGATTCAGGGTTGTTGGGAAAAGGGAGGACTCCCCTTCAGGTCTGGGAGATTGAGAGACATCTCCATCCATTTTAACAAGGGGAACTCCCAACATAAAGACAAGGACTGTCATCTTCAGGATTTCATCCCGTCTTGTATATCCGTAGGACTGAATATTTGTTCATCTTTGTCAGTGTTTGTTTGTCTTTGTCTGTGACCTGAATGACTGTGAAGCCTGGATTCCCCTCCCCTTAGTCTGTAGCAACCCCTAAAATATTGAGCTTCCATTTGCAGCAGTCACAAGAGAACTGTTATTGGTTTGCCAAGGAGACCCATTTTTGAAGGAGGCAGTTTTGTGGGGTCCTGATCCTTGGAACTAGAATGCAGTGACACAAAGGATAGGTGAACAGAGAGAGACAGTGTGTGTGCCTTCTCCTGAGGGAATATCTCGCTTACCTGATTGATTTACCTACCTCCCCACCATGCAAGCCCAGCCCAGAACTACTCCAGTGGCTTTGTGAGATCTCCTGGGAAGCCTCCCAGACCAAACAGTCCAGGAAGAGGCAATCCCTGTTATCCTCTCATAGCTTCCCGGGACCTCTACTCTAGGGTGGCCTAGGTGTGGTAGCAAGCAAGGAAGGCAGAAATATTCTGCGGGCTAAAAGTTGCAGGATTTGTGTCACCACTAACCCTCAATAGAAGTATCTTGGAGCGTGGAATCAGACTCTTTGCAAAGACCCTAGAATATGGGGAACCAGGTCTCAATACCTAAAGAGAGCCCACTAAGGTACTTCCTCTGACATTGGAAACTGTTTGGGTATCTACCCATGACCAAAATGCAAATGATATATTAATGTAATGCAGCATGGCCCCACTACTCCCTAAGAGATTAGGAGAGATGGGCTGAACATGGATCGCTCACTTATGATGTAATTTTCCAATCGGATTTATTTTGCAAGAAACAAGGCAAGTAGGATGAAATGCCCTTTGTACAATGTTTATGGCCTTCTATATAAACCCAGCCCTGCAGAAGAAATATGAGGCATGGAAATTGGCCAAAGGGCCAAAGAGAACTATGTTGCCAATTCTAGGCACCCCTGGAGAGGAAAAAACAGTCATGTGGGGACCTGTAGGGAAGGTAACAGGAAGAAGGAATGTCTCTACTTCCCTCCAAGAGAAGAAGCGAGGCCCTCTAACCCCACTCAAGGACTGGAACTTTTGCCAATAGAGAGAAGAAATAGTCCCCCTTCTTCCTCAGGAATTGAATGCTCAGTGGCTCCACAGGAAAGCAAGCATCCTCCTCCATACTTGCTGTATTAATCTGTTCTCACGCTGCTGATAAAGACATACCCCAGACTCAGTAGTTTATAAAGAAAAAGAGGTTTAATGGACACACAGTTCCACATGGCTGGAGAGGCATCACAATCATGGTGGAAGGCAAAAGGCACATTTTACATGGCACAGGCAGGACAGAGAATATGAGAGTCAGGCAAAAGGGGCAACCCCTTATAAAGCCATCAGATCTCATGAGACTTATTTGCTACCATGAGAACAGTATGGGGGAAACCACTCTCATGATTCAATTATCTCCCAGTGGGTCCCTCCTACAACACATGGGAATTATGAGAACTTCAATTCAAGATGAGATTTGGGTGGGGACACAGCCAAACCGAATCACTTGCTGGGCCCTCCAAACTCTGAGGAGTTGACTGTAGCTCCTACTATGGCAAGAGCAGCCCTCCTCCATTTTACCCCTCCCTGTCTGGGAGCACCACTCATAGTGGGAATACATATAACCCTAAAGGGGGCTGTTCCCCCTCAGGCAGGTGCCTGATGGACATACAGGTTTTGCTTGGGTCTGTGTGCCTTTTACAACTGCTGACTTGTATAACTGGAAATTCCATACTAAGGTCTTACGGGTGAGCCCAGAAGAGTTCATAATTCTCATAAGTGGAATATTCTCCACACATAACCCCAAGTGGCCAGACATGCAGACCTTAATGGCAACCCTGCATGGGAGAAGGGAAATCTGCCATCATAGCCAAAGCCAAGGAGGAGGCAGACAAGATGTGTGCTGATAACCATGGTCACAAAATCTACTGGGCTGCTAAAGTGTCATTCCCAAGAGCCAATCCTCACCGAGTCCCAGTGGTAATAGGGATCAAAAGCAGCTAGATTATTATAGGAATATGCTGCTTACATTAGCCAGCCCCTGGTCAATTGGGGAAACTCTGGGAAATAGAACAAGGCCCTAATGAAAATCCATCAGTATTCCTAAAGATACTACGAGAATGGCTCCAGGATTACACCCTTTGGAAACCAGAGGACCCTGAAAAGCTGAGTAGTGCTTGGTTCCCAATTCATCTCTCAGAGTACCCTAGATATTCAGAGGAAACTCCAAAACTGGTGATAAATCCAGGCACTCTCCCTTCCCAACTGATAGACATTGCCTTCAAGATCAACAAAAATAGAGATGTGGCATCTGACAAAAGGGAGGACAAGAAGATGGAGAGACAGGCTCATTTTCTGGCAGTAGCCCTACAGACTACTTCAGGTGAACCAGGAGGAAGGAAGAAGAAAGCATGGATAAGTAAGCAGAGACCCCGCCATGGGACTCAGAGGGTGCCTAAGCTGGGACCCACACAATGTGCTTACTGCAAGCAGGAGGGACACTGGAAAAGGAAGTGTCCAGATCCTCCCCGGAGGGGGAAGAAAGAGGACAAACCCAAGCACCAGTTCCCTGTAAATGGAGAGAAAACTGACTAACAGGGTCCTGGGGCTCCCCGCCTGGATCATCAAGATCCACATCTCCCTCAAGAATCCCTGGGTAACCCTAGAAGTAGGGGGACAGCCAGTTGAGTTCTTGACACTGGGGCTACATTTTCTATGTCTCACTAAAAGGGGACCCCTCTCCAAGAGGGAATATAATATAAAAGTATGTCTGCTAAAAGAAATTCTAAGATTCCTGGAGCCTCTGGTCTGTGAAGGGGATCTAAGTCTTTGACTCATTTCTTCCTCTGTGTCCCTCAATGCCCCATTCTCCTTTTGGGAAAGGTCCTTCTGACTAAGTTTGGGGCTATAATTGCTCTAAATCAGGACAGGATATGGTGGAGTTTCTCTGGGCCCATGGTGCCACCATGTTGGCCCTGGTTCATGGGGAAGTTCTGGACACAGAGGAGATTCCTTTAGAAATTGAGAGCCAAGTTAACCCTGTGGTGTAAGCTCAGGAAGAGGTCAGAGGAGCAAAAACGGCTAGGCCAGTGGCATCAGTACGATTGAAGGAACCAGAACTGAGACGCAGGGCTAAGCAATACCCAGTGAGGTCTGAGGCACTGAGAAGAATTCTACTGGTGCTCCATCACCTCCTGGAGCAAGGTGTAATCTATGTTTGTCAGTTTCCCTATATCTTGCCAGTCAAAAAGCCAAGAACTGAAGAATACTGGTTTGTTCAAGAATATTGGTTTGTTCAAGATATTCACCCAGTTGTACCCAATCCTTATAACATTATGATTAACCTTCCAGGAGAAAGCAAATTGTATACCATGCTAGATCTTCAGGACACCTTTTTCTGTGTCCTCCTGAGCCCAGAATCCCAGGAGTTGTCTGCCTTTGAATGGGAAGATGCTGAGTCCCATCAAAGGCAACAATATTGCTGGACAGCCTTGCCTCAGGGATTCAAGAACTCTCCCACTATTTTGGGTAGTGTGTTAAGTAAATACTTGAGATATTTATATTTAGAAAAGGGTGCTGAGTGCAGAAGCTCACACCTGTAATCCTAGTACTTTGGGAGGCCAAAACGGGAGGATCACTTGAGCCCAGGGGTTTGAGACCAGCCTGGGAAACACAGAGAAAACATAGGGAAAACATAGAAAGCGAACCCCTTCAGAACTCTAAGAGGTCTGGTTTGTAGACAGGAGTAGTTTCATAACAATGGGCCAGCAAAAAGCAGTGTGTGCAGTGGTGTGCTTACTTGGGCTTAAGCAGGCTAACAGCCTACCTCCCAGGACATTGGCCCAGAAGGCTGAGATTATTATCTCAGCCTGACCGAAGCCTTGTCCTTAGGGCTAGGCAAGGCCATCACTCTCTACACAGACTCTAAGTGTATTAGCCCGTTCTCACGCTGCTATAAGGACATACCTGAGACTGAGTAATTTATAAAGAAAAGAGATTTAATTGACACTCACAGTTCCACAAGGCTGGGAAGGCCTAAGGAAACTTACAATCATGGCAGAAAGGGAAGCAAACACATCCTTCTTCACATGGCAGCAGCAAGGATAAGTGCAGAGTGAAGAGGGGTAAATCCCCTTATAAAACCATCAGATCTCATGAGAACTCACCCACTATCATGAGAACAGCATGGAGGCAACCGTCTCCAAGATTCAATTGCCTCCCACTGGATCCCTCCCATGACAGATGGGAATTATGGGAACTACAGTTCAAGATGAGATTTGGGTGGGGACACAGCCAAACCATGTCATTTATGCCTTCTATGTACTCCACGCCCATGGGGCAATTTGGAAAGAAAGAGGCCTCCTGACTGCAGGCAATAAGTAGATTAAGCATCCAAAAGAAATATTACAGTTGTTACAGGCAGCACTGGTCAGCATGAGGAAGTTACAGAAGAATGACCTCTGACTCAGACCCCTGAAGAATGAGGATGACATATCTCTAGGGGGAAGATCTCAACTCGGGAAGATCTGTAGGGGAAAGATTTATAAGCAGACAGGGAGGGTCTCCAGGAATAACAGGAATTTAATCAACCACCCATCAGCTTGGTTTACCGCCTCCTGCCCTGCAGCCTGTTCTTCCCCAAACCCTGGGTGGAATGCAGTCACCTTGTTGGTTTAAACCAGCTCCCCAACGGAGCAGCAACACAGCAACATAGATGAACTCGAGTGAACTTTCTCATGACCACGCTAAAGTCTCCACCCTAGGTGGAGCTGTAGCTTCATTACCATAACATGCAACCTACGTGTTGACATGATGACTCTCTGCATCTACGCAACTAGGACCCCTCCTCGACATGCAATGACCCCCGTCTTCCCTCTCCACCACCCCATAAAGCCCTACTGTCACTTTCCCTCAGAGAGATGCTGCTTTGGAGAATACTCCCAGTGTCATCCTTACTTGTGCCAAGAAATAAAACTCCTATAGATCAAAACCTGTGTTCTCGTGGGGAGTTGTTTGTTATTCACCAGGTAAGAAACCCTGGTATTTTTCGGGTAACAAATCTGGTAAAGCCAGGTGGGACAAAGCCAGGTGGAACTGTAGACTGAGCTCCAACTCAACCTCCCTTATCGGCTGCTAACAGGTGAGGCAGTGAGCTGAGGAAACACGCTCAGGCTAACAGGTGTGTTGCCGAAAGGGAAATAGGAGAAGGGCCTCAGTACGCTCCCACCTGGTCATGAGTCTGCCACCTGGTATTTTTCGGGTAACACCTTCAGTCATGTCCCCATCTCTGGCCCAATCAGGGAGGCCAGGCAGATGGCGTTTATCATTCCCCAGGCCAGGGGTGGTACTGAATTGGCAGCCTCATCAGGACCACACTGAAAGAAAACGGCACTGCCCTCCAAGTAAGAGGGTGCTGTTTTATGTAAAGGAGGTGTTGGGGATCAGAAACAAAACCCCCAAAATATGATACTTTGACATAATCAACTGAAGAAGCTTCAAGGTCTCTCTGACCTTCCCCCCGAACCTCATAATCTCTCCCAAAGAAGCTGAAGTTCCTTTATCTCCCTAGGATCCAGACCTATCAAGGAGAACAATTGTTTTTTTTTCCCCTCCCTGAAATACCAAGAACATAACCACACCTAAACAGACCCTTTCACTGTCAAAGACAACTATTTACAAGTGAGTTTCTGTTCCACTAATGAGTGGATTACTAGGGATCCACTCATTCTCCATAATAATCCTTTATTGCCCCTCTTCTCCTCCCACCTCTCATAACCTGTGTTGCCAGGAAGGCATATAAGTTTCTGAACCCTGTTGAAGGACAGGCAATCACTGTGATTTTCCCCATGCACCCGTTAAGTAAGTTTATATGCTTTTTTTTCCCAATTAATCTGTCTTTTTTTAGTTGATTTTTTCCAAACCTTCAGAGGGTGAAGGGGAAGTTTCCCTTGGTCCTTACAGAGGAAAGGGATGCTGGAAAAATGAAAGCTAGAATCCCTTGATCAGTAGGATTTTCCAGGGGAGTCTCAGACCCAGAGTAATAGCTAACTCCAAGGCTACCATTATGAAGGGGCCGGGCTCTGCAAAGGGAAAAAGGGAGAATGAACAGTCGTAAGATGACTGCTGTTTCTAAGGGCCTGTCCTTGTTGGTACACACTGCTTGGTCTAATTTTGAAACTATATCATCCTCATTTTACAGATGAAGAAACAGACGATCAGGACAGTTAAGTAATTTGCCCAAAGTCATACAGCTAGTAAATACTAGAGCTGGTAGAGGGAGGCACAGGTCTCCATCCTCCGACAGGGAGGAAAGGTTTAATTTCAGGTGCCCTCACTTAGCGTACCTCACTGTCAAAGCCTTAAAAATATTTTTATGACCCTTCAACCAGATTTTCTTTGGATGCTTTCCAAAGCTCAAATGAAGCAACATATCTTCCCTTTCATCTCTGATTTTTGGAGGGCAGCATGTGCTATTTCAATGTCCCTGGACAGACACAGAAAAAGATATGGAAATGGGGCAGAAGCTAGTGTTGTCTACACTGCCCAAAGAGTCACTGGGTCTCCAACCACATTAACCAGCATTCAGCCTGGCTGTTGAGTGTCCCCTGTTCACACATCTTGTGCAACAAATAGCATGGATGTTGCAGAGTCAGCACATCAAGTGGAAGCAAGAGGATGGAGTCTGTCTTACCTTGTCCCTAATTCCTGTCTCTGACACCTGTGAGCTGTCCTCTAACAAGTAACTTAACCTCCATTAGCCTCAGTTTCCTCCTCTGTAAAATGGGAAAATCATACCTCTTTTAAAGATGCACCAAACAGATATTATTATCCCCATTCTACTTGTTCTACCCACAATTCCTGTCCCTTCTGGCCACAGAAAAGAAGGGACATATTCCTGACTCGAGGGTAGAAAACCCACTGGCCGATAAGAAACCACTGACATTGTATAGGGAATGTCAACTAAGGAGTGGAGAGTCCACCAGCCAGTGGCAGACACTTCAGGTGCAAGGGCCTGGGTGAAGGGGGTTGGAAGGGCTATTTGGGTTCAAGCACAAAACAAATGAGTAGAGGAAGCCAGTGAAGAAAAAAGAGAGCTGGGAGGAAAACAGATGCCAGAGAGAGAAAAGCAGAATGAGAACAGTAACGTGGCTCCTGAACAACAGAGAAAGAGCATGAAAGAGCCTGCTATTGGTTCCTTCTTCCTTAGCTTGTGTGAGATCACAGTCTCCATTTCATCTGAGCCAGCCTGAGGAAGTTTCCATTCCTTATGTCAGAACAATGCAACACAAAACACTGAGGGGGCAAAAAGACCATTGGGAGAGTTATCTTCCTGACACATAGTAGGTGCTCAATAAAAATCCTCACAGTTCTCTTCCTAAACTTGATTGAGGATAAAACACACTCAAACTAGCCCCATGTGACTACAAGCCAAGTCTGTATTTGAATCACTTTCCTTCTACACTTCTATTCCAAAAACCGTGGCCAAACTATGTGAGATATACTGCATAATTAGTGCGTACCTCTTAGCCTTGCCTAATTACCTCTTTTATCAATTAAAAATATTTTCCCATTAAGGAGAGGAGTTGAGAGGGAGAATGGAGTCACTTCCCTATTTCTAAAGCCTCTGAAAAATCCAGCAAGATAATGTCACCGATTTGGTTAATTTCAGGTGCACATCGGGCTATTCAACCTAGGTGAATTTAATGACTCAGGACAGGTCGGGCGATGAATGTCCCTGTAAATCATTTATAATTGCAAACATAAAAATTAAAAATCAGTCTGAAGAGCAAGATAACGTAATGGTAATGACAAAGAGCAGTAATCTGAAGATAGCGGCTCCTTGCTTTAATCAGGCCCATTCGAATGACAGAGCGCTCAGCCTCTGGGGGATTGTTCTGGAAACAAAAGGCTGGGAACCTACTTCAGTCTTTAATGACTCACTACGATAAAAGAAATTAACTGAATTTTCATATTATAATTATAAAACTTAATAGGGAATTTTTTCCTCTTCATACTCTTTATTTTTCTTCTAGTTGAGATAAACCAACAGACAGCCTATTCTCCTTACAAGGATGACTTTAAAGGCCAGTGATGTTCAGCCATGTCACACTGAAAGTCCAGCTAATAAATTATGTCCAAAAAGAGGCGCTGCCAGTGCTATAAAAGATAGTTTCTGGAGGCTTTGAGAAATTTTAAAAAGTCCTTACCTTATTTTCAGTGTGTATATGATACTGTAGCCCTCCAAGTCAGCCAGATCAAGAAGCAGATAAGCAATAAAGCATCAAATTCTTCTCTCCGGTGCTTGTGAACCACAAATTGAACATTCTCCTTCCCTTGCCTTTTCTGCCTGGTAGACATTTAGTCATAGTTCCAGGTCTAATTTAGGTGGAACTTCCTTTAGGAAGCTTTCTCTGATTACCACCCTTCCTTCCTCTTTTCCCAGAACTTCCCCCTTCCTGGCGGCTCATTCTCTCTTCTGGGTTTCCTCTGAACCCTAAACACAGACCTAATCCTGGACTTATCACACTGTGTGTCTTACTGTCACAGGAGTAGGATAATTGCATTCTCTCCTACAAAGCTATCATTCTTTTGAGGAGAGACTATGTAGGAATCATGACCAACCGACCCTCCAAACACATGCCACATTGTGGGCATTGAATAAATATTTGTTGGCTGATTGAGATCTATCTTAATTCCAGGTTTAACCTGGGAGAAAAAAGTGAGGGCAGAGTCAAGAAAATACCAAGCCTTTAGCACTGAAGAATAAAAAATACAAAGAGAGATAAGGGGTAGGGGCAGTCAGTACATAAGCTTCCTTAAATAGACACACAAATACACAATTCTTGCTCTTGATAATAAGAAAATAAACATGGGGTATTTTCTCTGGAGCTTTTAAATATTTCCAAGAGCCCTTGATAAAATTACAGTATTTTCCTGAGCAGCTGGGGTGACATTGCTCCATATAATTTCTTCTCCACGTGAATTGTATTGTGACATGAATGAGTAAGAATTTTTCAGTTGCAAGCAACAGAAACTGACTTCAGTCAACTTAAGGGCAGGGGGAAAGTCAGAGGTAGATTTTGTAGTTAGAACATAAAAGCATCTCACTAAACCGAAGGACAGGAATGTGGCTGGGAAGCAGGAAGAGCTGGAACTGGGAACTGGGAAGTTATCTCTTCAACAGGAGTTTCCTCTCTCTATTCCATAGATCATATTTCCTTGAGTCTCTCTCACCCTCTGTGCCAACCTTAGTGAACATCAGAATCCCCCAGAGGGCTTGGTAACCTGCAGGTCGCTGGACACCTCCTCCAAGTTTCTGAATCTGTAAGTCTGGGTGGGAACTGAGAATGTGTGTTTCTGACCAGCTCCCAGTGATGCTACTGCTACTGATCTGGGCACCAAATTTGAGAACAATTTCTCTATATCAGCTAGTGTACAGGGCAGGAAGAAGGTCAATGGAGCTGCCACATTTGCAGGTCACAGTCATAGCCACCAAGAGAGACTCAACCTGGTCCCACTTTCAGCTTCCTGGGAGACAGAACTCATTGCCCCAAGTGGACTAAGAATCTACCCTGGGCCCATCAGCTCTGGCTAGACACATGGCTGCCCCCTGAGCACACTGAGCCATTCCCAGGGAACAGGAGCTGGGCAAGCCACCCAATGTGACTGCCATGAGACTCAAAGGAGTCTTGCATTTTTACTGGACTAGTGGAAGCCCAGGTACCTTTAAGACAGCAGAAGCTCAGAGTTCAGGAAACTCCCTCTCACCTGAAACAAAACTCAGAACTACTCCCATCTCTGCAAACAGCAGCTCCTGTCAAATGTGTGAGGGCAGGAAAGAAGTAGGGCTTCCTTCCCATGTGACACTGCGGCAGAGGGTTGAAGAACTTGGTCTGCAGCAGTGGTTCTTAAGCAGGGGTGATTCTGCCCCCTAGGGACACTTGGACATTTCTGGAGACAGTTTTAATTTTCACAACTTGGAGGTGAGGAGTAGGGCTGCTACTGGCATCTAATGGATAGAGACCAAAGATGCGGGTAAACATCCTACAATGCACAGGACAAGCCCCATAACAAAGACTTCTCCAGCCCAAAATGTCAATAGGGCCAAGACTGAGAAATTCTGGTTGAGAGCCTAAGAGATCCTCAAAAAAAGAAAAGTTATGGTCTTCTCCTCCACAGCATGGGTGACATTGTTCCACATAGTTGAATCCCAGTCCCACCCACTGAGTTAGAGCCCTACACGGCTGCTTACTGGCTGTGGGAACTCAGGCAAGCCACAATCCCTCTAAGCCTTAGCTTCCACATATGTAATATGGGACACTAGGGCTGTTGGAGGGAATTTAATGAATTAATAGCCATAAAGAACTTAGCCCAATGCCTGACACACAGTAAGCACTCCATACACAATAGTTATGTATCAATGTTATTACTGTTGTTATTATTATTATGTATTTGTGATTGGACTCATGGAGGAACTCTGACATTCCTCCCTGACTTGGGATAGATAGCTCAATGAATTCAGGAATTATTGTGAGGGTGGGAAAAAAGGAGGCTAAACTCTCATGGAAAAGAATAAACGGGGTGGCAGTGGGGTTGGGAGGAGCCACTCATCTTAAAGAAAGGAGACACTAGAACCTGCATGTGGCATCATTCTGCATCCTCTTTCCCTTTCACAGCAAAGTGTTTTTACGTTGGCACTTTTCATACTGAATTAGGGAAAGTAAATATTAATAGGAGATGATACTAATCACCCATGACAGAAAATTCCCACTCTGATCAAACTTTCATAACACATTAGGAGCAAAAAGCCCTCTCCTGCCTCTTACAGGCCAATCTCCATGTTGCCCATACGCGATGGCAATCACAAGCGTCTGTCCATCTGCAAAGGCTCCTTAACACAGGCCAATGACAACATGCAAACCGAGATTGCACTGCAAATGCTCACTGCCCAAGTGCCAAGGCCAGCCTCCATCACACGGTCAGTGGTAACCGTAGTGTCCTTGATGCTCCTGAATGCGGGCACAAAGCTCTGCCTATCCAGGGGAATCACTGTATCTTGGCATTTTAGAGTTAAAAAGACCTTGGAAATCTTTCAGACCAATTCACTCACATTTAAGCTATCAGTTCATGGAAGGGACTAAGTAAATTTATTTAACCACAAGGTACTAAATCTTCTGTAGGAACCAGACATTAGGTGGAGCAGCGGAATAATCTGAAGGTCTTTCACTTCTAATGCAATTGTGGTAGACAGCCCTTTAGGAGAGTTCTGGGCCAATATCTAGCTGGACTTTGTCACATTTTATTTTTTAGTTTGCTTTGATTCAATTTGATAGTCTCTGTCATTTAATTGATTAGTTATATTTCTTGAGATACTGAATTATTTCTGCCATCTTATTTTGTGTGTTTCTGTTGGTTATCCACTTCTTGACTTCTTTCCCCTCATTTTCTGGCTTCTTTTAGATTGACAAAGTTTTCTATAATTTTTCTTGTTACATTGTTAGTTTGGAAGGTATAGAGTGTATTTCTAGTCTTCTAATGGCCATCCTTAATCTTTTTTTTTTTTTTGTCTCAAAAAAATGAGACAGCATCTTGCTCTGTTGCCCAGGCTGGAGTGCAGTGGTGTGATCACGGCTCACTGTAGCTTTGACCTCCTGGGCTCAAGCAATCCTCCTTCCTCAGCCTCCTGAGAAGCTGGGGCTACACCTACATGCCACTACTTCGAGCTAATTTTTTAAAAAAGTTTTGGTAGAGCCATGGTCTCACTATGTTGCCCAGGTTGGTCTCAAACTCCTGAGCTCAAGCTATCTTCCTGCTTCCTCCCACAGTGCTGAGATTACAGATGTGAGCCACCACATTCTGCCATTCTTAGTATTTTAACCAACTTACTTAATTCTACATTTGTACAACAAAGTCCCAAATTGCTCATTATTTCTATCTTCCTCCCAAATGTGACATAAATCTTAGTGGGCAAAAATGGTCATATTGCCTTGAAGCCTAAAATATTTACTCTCTGGCCCTTTAAGAAAAAGTTTGCAGGCCCCTGCTCTAGAATAATAGTTTAGTGGGGTGGAAAAATTATAGGTTGATGGTTATATTTTTCAACACTTTGAACATATTCCTTCAATGTCTTTGGCCTTTACTGTTGCCCATAAGAAATTATACTTTATGTATTACAGTTTTACTATGATGTGTTTAGCTGTGAATTTTTCTTTGTGTGTACTGCTTGGAACTCAGCATACACTATACATAAGGTGATCACGCCTTTCTTCAGTTTCTTGTCAGATACTGTTTCTCTGCTATTTCTTACATTGGAGTTCTTGATCTATATATTATATCTCTTAACTTAAAAAAAATAATTGTTTTGTTTTTTAAAATGTCCTCTCTGTTAGTGCTGCATGCTACTAACTAAAGCACATGTTAACTCAGTGCTATCTTCCAGTTCACTAATTCTTTCTCCAACTACATATACTCTAAAGTTTATACTATTGCTTTTCTGGTTTGGTGGCTATATTTTTTATTTTCAAGGTTTCTAATTGGTTCTTATTTCATTTGTTGGTTTATTTTACCTTTTATTGCTTGCTTGACTTCCTTATTTGACAGCTTTGCAATTACCTCCACGAAGATGACCCCCAATCAGATCTTCTAATGGCATTTCAGGGCTCCTGTCCCATGTATTGTTGGGAAAATCATAGATCCAATCATGAGGCAGTGGCCAATTTAGTTGAATTCTTACTCAAGAAGCTCTGGGTTCTCCAGCCTCTATAGGTTCCCATCATTCTTACAGTCATAGCCCAGCAATTCTGAATTTTTCCACAAGGGACACTGGGCAATGTCTGTAGATACTTTTGGTTGTCACAACTGGAGGAGGTGGGTTGTTGTTACTGGCATTTAATGGGTAGAGGCCAGGAACAGCGCTAAACATTCTACAATGCATAGAACAACTCTACTACACAGAATTATCTGGCCCAATGTGTCAACAGCCCTTAGGGTAAGAAACTCTGCCATAGCCCCAGGTAGTGATCAGCACTTTTCAGTCTCCTTTCACAACTAAGGGAGCTACACTCCAGCTCCCAGCTTTAAGCAGTGAGTGTGGCCTGGTGAGCACTGTTAATCTTGGTCTGGTGAGCACTGTTAATTGCTGAGATCCCTCAGAGGTGGATCTCCTAGTGATCATTGTGAGCTTCTAGACCCAGAATCAACAGACCCAATGATGAAGCCCCATTCGTGTTGCATTTCTGGTCCGTGGACTTACCTTATTCCTGAGCCATGCCTCTTATACCTTTTTGGTTTTCTACTTTAACATTTAATCTCTCACCTCTGTATGTTTGAAGCAAAGATATTGAGTCAAAACACGAACTCACTGTGCCACCTTCACCCAAGCCAAATGCTTAATAAGGACAGTCTACATGATTCAACCATTTCTTTTTCCTTTGTTTTATTATTTCTTAGATTTTTTTTTAGATAAAAATATCAGATGTTTTGCAATATGCTCTCCCACAACTCACTGTATAATGAGATAGTACTTTCTAGGTTGAATTTTCTCAGAGGTATTTTCAAGGGAGCAGCTCAAAGGGGCCTTTGAAAAGATCTAGAAGCCTTGCAGCTGACAGGAGGAAAAGGAGACCCTGATGGATGCTGGCACATTTGACTGGAGCTTCTCCCATATTTAAAGGATGCTGGGGTGCAAGGTGGAGGTTTTTGAAGGTTGTATTTCAATGGACACAGCTTCCTTTCCCTGTGACTTGTGCCCCTGCTTCCTTGTGTCTTGGTGACCCAGTGGGAACTGCTATATATGGAAAGAAGATAGTTATGAAATGCCCAAGGCAGGCGTCTCAGTCTCAAATGAGATTAGAGGAGCAGGATGTGGAAAATCAAAACCACAGAAGACCCTAAAATTCCCTGACACTGGATAAAGCACAGCTGTCATCAACATCCAACGTTTTGCTTTTCCAAGCCCACTGGGTCTGAGTGTTTCATGTGCAAGACCAGGACTCGGTTCCATCTAATTCAGATGCCATGCATCCCCTGCAGTGTCTCCCCTCTAGGGACACTGCCCTAGCCCAGCAGAGGTATGGTTCCTAGAGTCTCCTTCCAGAGCGCTGTTTATCATGGGTCTGCTCCTGGCTCACCCCAGGCTCATTTGATTGGATGAAAGATGGACACCTGGCCTAATTAACTTCTGTCTCTGAGGAAACTGATTTTGAGTAATGAAGATGTAGTCATTTACCTGTGGGGAGCCTAGCTGGAAGGTCATGTGGAATTGGAGGCTGAGGACACCATTTTGGGGTTGCCAGAAGAAGGCCATGTGCAAGCAGGACCGCCATGTACAAGGGCATCCAACTGAGAAGTAAGTGAGCCTGGAAACTCAGCTTGCCAAACTGTGTGCCCTGGAGTGAACACCTTCTTCTAATTTGCACGAAGTTGTCACATGGGCTAGCATTGGAACCTGTGTGCAAGTAGATGAGTGTGCAGAGGAGATGTCCTATAAAGACAAGAATGAAGGAAATGTGCAGCCTGGATGCGAGACGAGTAGCCTCAGGGAGGAATAACAAGCGAGGTGGAAGAAAGAGTTGCCTGTAGTCCTCAAAGCTCCTGAGCCCTTTGTTCCAGTCCCTGCAAACACCCAGCTCCACTTCCTACCTATGGCTTGTGGGAAATGTTCTAGTGTGCTTATAATAAATTCCCCATTGCTTAAATTAGCTTTAATGAGTGGATTTCTGTTCTTTGCAATTAAAAATGCGCTGTTGTGATTCAGCTTGTTCTTATGTACTATTGTATGCTCAGAGCCTAGCACAGTGTCCACACGTAGTAGTTGCTCAGTGAAGATCTGCCAAATAGATGCATGGAAGAGAAACTTGTGAAATGAGTGGTTTAAGAAAGTGCCAGTATTTGAGATTCCTCACCAAGTCCATCTGGCACAACAGAAACATGAGAGTTTCTATGGTGAAATTAAACCAGTAACATTTTTCACCAGAACACATTGGTGAAATTCCAATAAGAAAATACAGTGTAAGCCTCAATTTTCAGAGGCTTATGATGCTCCCTTGGTGAAAAGAAAATTTACGTCAGTGGTGAAATAAAATCTAGGATTTTTTAAAATGACAATAAAAATGTTTAGCAAAGCTAAAATTTGGAATTCTTGCTGGAATGATATATTAACTAAAAAAAAAAAAAACCAACATCTCAGCCGAGCATGGTGGCTCATACCTATAATCCCAGCACTCTGGGAGGATGAAGCTGGGGGGTCACTTGAGGTCAGGAGTTCAAGACCAGCATGGCCAACATGGTGAAACCCTGTCTCTATTAAAAATACAAAAATTAGCTGGGCGTGGTGGTGGGCACCTGTAATCCCAGCTACTCAGGAGGCTGAGGCAGAAGAATTGCTTGAACCCAGGCGGCAGAGGTTGCAGTGAGCCGAGATCACGCCACTGCACTCCAGCTTAGGTGACAGAGTGAGATTCTGTCAAAAAAAAAAAAAAATCCATACATTTAGAAAAGGAGAAGGAGAATTTATTTTTTATAAAGGGTTACAGCCTACAAGGTGGCCATCCTGCAGGCTGGGAAGCACAGCCTTTGGTCAAGACCAGAGACAGGCACTTCAAAGGAGGAGGGATAAGGGTAGGAGCTTTATTCTGACTAGGTTGGCTAAACATACACATTCAACAGGTTACAGGAGAATCCATGAATATTCATGAACGTTCTAACACATGCATACTGAACAAACATGTATGTAGCATGTTTCCTTTGGGGTGGAGACTTAACATTTAAATGTACTACAGTTGGGCCCTATTCATCAAAGGGTCTTTTCAGAACACAAAGGCATGCAAGTGTGCAGCCTCCGTAAACAAGCCAGAACCAGTCCATGGTTGGTGGTCTTATCTGGAGGAATGTTACCGAAGTCAGTCTCTTGTCCAATCAAAGCTGTAGTTCTGGCTGGTGGAACAGGGATTCAGTGAGTCAGTGTCTATGAGCTGGATGAATTTGAATTATTTTAATATTGCTAATCTCAAGGCCAGTGCTTGTTTAGCTGCTGAGAAAAAGAAAACCCTTGCAGCAGGTAGAACATAGCTTATTCTTAATTGTTGGGGTTGGGGCTGATGTGTGACTTAAACCTTGTCTGCCATAGCCTTAGATCCTGTTTATGATTTGGTATTTTATTGCCACAAAGAGTCTGTTCCATCTTAGGATCTCTATTTTAACATTAATGCTGGTCAGTTATTGTGTCTAAACTCCAAAAAGGACAGGGTATAATAATGTGTATTTGCCGCCTGACACAGCTAGGAACTCAGTGTTAAGGTTTTGCTGGGGTCCCATTGACCACAAGGGGGTCCATTCAGTCAGTAGGGGGTGCTCAGGATTTTATTTTAAGTTTATATATAGATGGGATGGCCTGCAAGAGATCAGTCTATTCAGCACTATTCTTGGAAGCAGTAGCTCAGAGTTTGAATAACTTGCGTGAGGTCACACAGCAAGGGTGGGACAAGGGAGCCTCGATCTCAAGTCTTTGGCTCTCAAGGCAGTGTTTCCACTACAACGAGCTGCCCCTGCCAAGGAGGTTCTTATCCTTCCTCATGACTTTGCTACTGCAATTAAAAAAGACACCTTTTCTGATACCCATTGAAACAGTTCTCAGTCTTTTAACCCTCGTCAAATGGTTGGACTAATGACTGCATTTATGCATTTATAAATTGAGCGCACATTTAAGAAAAACAACCCATCAAATACATCAGCTTCATTGCAGCTCCATTAAAAAGAAGTTTTAAATGACCAGGTTACCAAAAAAATGTAATTTTCTACTGTATTATTGCCTGTGAAATATTACAAGTGTGAAATGTAATTACATTAATGCTATTTTTGATATCATATCAGCAAATTATGCCGAGTCCCCACTGTGACACTTCTATCAGGGTAAGCATTATCCTGTTGTGAGTGTCGATCCCGGGGGAAAATGAAGTCGCTCAAATGGTTTCAATGCTCCAGCAATTAGCCACCTCAAGGCTGCTGAAGCTTCCAGGGAAGGGTTGATTTCAGAGCCACTTATGGAATGTTTAACCTGTAAACATCTAGGCCACTTACCTCCTGTTTGTCTTTTTTCCAGTTAAGCCCCAGAGAATCCTCTTTATGTAAGCAAAGCATCATTTTATGTAATAAGAATTTTTCTACTACCATTTTCCTTCTTAATCATCAGCAAATCCCTTTCTGCTATTAAAATACACACCATGCAAAGTGGAAAAAGAGCTGATAAGTATATATTGTGCTGAGGAGTAATACCCTAATGCCATGAGGAAAAAAAACACACACAATGTGATATGTTGGAGGATTAGCTATGTTCACGTTGAGCAAACAAAAATAATAACTTCAAGTATCCTTTGGAGACCCCTGATTTGTTTTCTGAAGTTCAAAAGCTTTATTAGAAGATTTAAAATGATGCCAAAAAAATAAAAATAAAAACCACACACTTAGGCTTTGTAAGATTCCCATTTACTCTGGGTGTAAAAACACCATGTGCTGAAGTCAGATCCAGCTTACAGGTGGGAAGAAGCTGTCTGGGCAAAAATGTCCCTCTAGGCAAATACCATGCAGAATTTCAAATCATTTTTTCTACCAAAACAAAGGACTCCATCTTCACCTCACTCTTACTGAACTCTATTAAAAATTAACTGGAAAGACCTTGTGATATAAATGCAATAGTAAGTTGCTAATATAACTTAGACTTCTGATTAAATTCTGTAAAAATTAAAGTTTTGAAGCTGGAGATTGTTCATAAAGAGGTATTTCATCCATAGTGTAAAACCAACCTCTCCAAAAAGGAAACAGTTCCCTCCAACTCAGCAGCTGCAATTAAGCTTAGCTGCAATGAAGAAAGCATTAAGGTCAGTTACCAGATCTTGAGCATCTCTGCATTTTCAGTTCTATTTTAGGCAGAGAACCACCCCTTAGGCTGCCATTCCATCTGGAAAATGTAATTAATAAATCATCGGTTCTCGGCTCTGCACGCTGCCTTACAGAGCGTACAAGAAAGAGAAGGGAAATCTAAGATCTATTTATTACATATCAGCCCCTAGCTCTGCCATGCATGTCTTCTAAAGTACCCTTGGATCTCTAGGAAAATAGGTGCTCAGATTTTCATGGGGAAGCTCAGCCCTCTCCTCTGATGCATAGAATCCCCTGCTCTTTCTAACAATCTAATCTGCAAGCCTGGACTACCATACAATCTCAACCTTATTCTCTTGAAGCTGGGAAGGGGAGGCTGAAGAACAGAAATACCTCAAGGGGCTTCCAGGGCCTAACGAAAGGCACCCTTCTGCGGTAACAACCTCAAGAAAGCCAGGGGTAGGAGGAGACCTGGGGCGGGGTGCGGGGGGTGGTTGGGGAGGGGCGCTGGGGCAGCTACCGGTTCAGGTTCCTGGGGGAGCAAAGCATTCTTAAATTGGAATCAGATTGAACAGATTCAAACTCAGGCTCTTTCTGGGGGTGTGAAACTTGGGAAACTGACTTAACCTCTCTAAACCTCAGTTGCACTTCAGAGTAACCACTTAACTCTTAGTTATCACTATGAAGTTTTTAACTGAAAACCCAGGAAACACCTGCAAGTACTTTTAGTCACAGGTTTTTTGTTTTTTTTTTTTAAATGAGAAAAGTGATGCACAGAGATGTAAATGGCCATGCCAAAGTCAAGATGGTAACTCCAGTCCACGGTGTAAAGCTCTGTCCAAGACCTCAGGGTCTCATCCTCATGGTGGTTTTACTCTTTCTACATAATCCGAGTGTCTCTCTTGTCATCCTTAGGCCAGGAGAACTATCTGAATGCTACGTTAAACCTAAAAAGCATACTTAAAAAAATACTTAAAAAAAGCCCTTTTAAGCTTTGATTTTACAATATTTACTCACTCTGCATGCAGCCCTGATTAATGCCTGAATTCAACCATTGTGGTAGTGTGTATATATGCCATTTATATATAATTCCAATCCTCCACACCTAACTGGAGTGCTGTCTTGGCTTCGGGGTTTCTGTGCCTCCTTGCTTCAGAACACCGGGTATTTGGGATTAAATCCAGCCTGAAATGTTATTTGCTCTGTTTAGTGCTTTTATGATGATTCTCTTATTATCTGCATGTGCTTCAGTGCTAATTGTACATTACAATGGTTGTAAGCAGGCAGCCTGTGAGCCAAACAGGAGAGTGCAGGGTTTGGAACAGCCGCTATTTAGGGTCCAGGCAAGGGAAGGGCTAGAGAAAGAAACACCAAAAAGAAAAAACAGGGTAACTTTATTTTGGCATTCAGAGAAAACAGGACCCTGTGCTGCCCCAGGACCAAATTAACTGTTTCAGGATATTTAGCAAATTGTTCCATCATGAAAATCTGTAAAAGAGAAAAATTAGTGTTACCCCTAAATCCTATATCTAAAATCCTATGTCTTCACATGCCAGAATCCATATGTGACTGTATGCAAGCAATGTTAAAAAAGGGAAATATACAATTTAAGTTATAAAAGCAGTCAAAAGATTTTGATGATAGCCGACATACCAATTTAAGCAAGAAGATTAAATTAGCCAAATAATAAATTTCTAAACCGAGTTTGAAAAGAAACTTTACATCTACAGCCATACCACCCTGAACACGCCTGATCTCGTCTGAAAAGAAACTTTATAAATCAGCCCTCTGATATTTATGATAATATAAGAATTTACAGGAAAATTATGCTCCACCCTCTACAAAGACATTTCCAGTAGCTTAGAAATAACAATGAGCCCCCCAAATCATGCTTTATGGTGCAACATTCTAATATTCTATGCATAGTTTGCAAGTTATTTTAAAAGACCATATATGGCACTAAAATGCATGTACAGATGAATGATAAATTGCACATAGAAAACAAATTATGTAGTAATTCTTGGTATTTTTATTAGCTTAAACATGATTTTAGCATTGACATTTTGTACAGTGTAATGAAACACAAATTATAATTAGAAACATCTTGGTGTTCATTCTTGAATTCATCTTTTGCAATTCCCAGTTTTCTGACAACTGCTCAGGCACTGGAGAAGAGGGACAATCAAATGTTACCAGCTTTAAACTTAACTTGCCCACAGTCTCTAGGATTTCAGCTTTTTGCACGTTTCAGGATGATTATCAGAAGGGCCAGATTTATGTCAGGCCATTGAAACCTAAGCTGCAGCGCCCTTCAATGGCTCAAGCCCTTTTCAAGGTCTAAGACTTAATTTTGCCTTTGTAATTTTGTCTTTTTTTTTTTTTTTTTTTTTTTTTATAAATAGGTCTTCTCAAATGCATACATATCAAGCCCCACCCAAACTGCTCCTTGGTAGACCAGATGAACCTTTGTTGGCATCTGAGCCAGGTCATGGATAGCAAAATGCCAGCCCTGCTGAGTCCCTTCGCAACAGTGTGCTCACCAAGTGCACGAATGCCTGGCATCATCAGACTGGGTGGTGAGCAGATGACACTCTGAGTGACAGTCTCAGTGGGTGATTTTCCTTGCACGATGCAGGCAGATACTGTAGTATAAGATGGTTTGAGATGAATTTTCTTTTTAAAAAAGAAGTATGTTGGCAATGCTTTGCTAGCCCTTGTTTTTCACATGTAATGAAAATTTGCAGATACCTGTGAAATGAACCTGAGTGTTCCCAAACAAGGATTCCAACCAACTTTCAGTAAGTTAGTAGGCCTTTAAAAAAAAAAATCAGGCTTGCAAAATGGTACAGTTTGGCTTTTTGTCTAAACATTTGAAAATTTTTTTTACTTTAAATTTTTAATTCATGTAGCACAGCTCAATCCAAAATGGCTTGCAAACTCCATGAAAATATCTAAAATATCTGGTCTGGTTTTTATTTTCTTTCAACTAAGTAATCAAGAGTTAGTAGATTTCACAAAGTAATTCATTCCCTAAAGACTGCCTAGAGTTTGTCTTACCATCGTCTATTTCATCTTAGAGCTTCTCATGAATACAACATTAAGGAAATGGGTGAATAGATCTAATCTTATTGATCACCTGGCCCAGGTATTTGCTAATATGATGCTAATGTAACCTCAGAATAATTCTAGGAGGGTAAATACCATTATCTTCATTTTATAGCCATGGAAACAGAGCCTCAGAGAAGCAAAAGAAGTAGCCCAAGTCAGGTCATGTAACTAACTAGTAACAAAACAAGTATGAAGTCCAATCAATTCTATTACACTAGACAACTAAACATTTAAATACACACATAACCATTCTCACAGTATATGAGGAGAATCACTAAGAAAAGTGCAGAATTCGTCACCAGTTTGTAGTTCTCAGAAATAAGTATATGTAGTTTGGCTGGGCGTGGTGGCTCATGCCTGTAATCCCAACAGTTTGGGAGACCAAGGAGGGTGGATCACTTGAGGTCAGGAGTTTGAGACCAGCTGGTCAACATGGCGAAGCCCTGTGTCTACTAAAAATACAAAAATTAGCTGGGCGTGGTGGCAGGCGCCTATAATCCCAGCTATTCAGGAGGCTGAGGAAGGAGAATCACTTGAACCCGGGAGGCAGAGGTTGCAGCGAGCTAAGATGGCACCACTGAACTCCAGCCTGGGCAACAGAGCGAGACTGTGTCTCAAAAAAAAAAAAAAGAGTATATGTAGTTTGAAAACTTCGAAATAAAGAAGATGGGGGTTCACAGGAGGTGAGAGCTTATCCACGATAAAGCAGAGTGAAAGGTAAAGACTATATGCAAAGTAAACATTTTCCAATTCCGGTCATGCATTATTATAGCATAACAAACAGAAATTGTGAAGTCACAGGGTGAAGATAATACAATAGTCTTTTAAAAAGAGTGCCAAAATTCTTGGGCTACAGCTGAAAAGTGATCTAGGTTACTCAGTCTTGCATCCTAGAAAGTATGCTTAAGGCTTGAGATTTAAGAAAGAAAGAGGACTCTTAAACAACAACTGAGACCAAAAAGCTGGAGAAATTCTTCATAAAAGACACTAAGCTTATCATGTTCCATTCCACATTTAGCACTAGACCAGATACTTCAAAGAGAAGAGAAGAAAGTATCAGGATAGGATCAAGATCGTATCAGTTTGGAAGTAAGTTAAGGATTCTGAGGCTGTAAATCAGAAATCAGAAAACAAGGTCATTTATTCTGGAATGTGATGTGGTTGAGTTTTCTCAATGGGATTCAATGGAGATGGAAAAGGGCCCACCCAGTTATAAAGCTAGACACTGACAGATTGAATGAGAAAATGGACAGAGGCTAAAACACCAAATCAAGGAAGATGGACAGCCTTTGGCAGGAGAAGAACGGGCCTCTAAAATGAATTTGGGGCATGGGTTGATTTTAAGTCTTTTGGCATCGAAAAAGAATGACAGCAGCACTCAATTTGATCTTGAGAATCAATGCCAATTCCTTATTAAACTGTCAATCTTTTTTAGTGTCATTCCTAAAGATCTTGATTGGATGAATGTACCAGTGAACCAGAATGTTACAAGTTTCAACAGTTCTCCTCGAAAAGTAAACACCAGGCTCCACTCAGAGTTTCTGGCGTTTCTGGTGCCATTAGCACGACCATGATACTGATTAAGACATCAACAACACTGCAGATATTCCTAAGAAACTACATTGAATTGTTTACCTCATGAATAATTTGCAGAAAATGTCTAATTTTGAAAAATATTTTCAAAATAAAAAGCTGGTATTGGTTTTCATTGAGCCCCCAAACAACGGAGCTTCCTCAGGGCTGCATTTTTCTCTCCAGAAAATTGTGGGAACAGCCATCCTGGCAAGCTGGAAATTTATTAAGGCCATGATAAGATCAGTAACTTTGAATCACTTCTCCCCTAAAGGATAATTCCTGTGTCATCTGTCCACTTGAGCTCCTTTGGGACTGTGGAGAAGCCAGCAAAAGGATTCAAATCTGACTCTTCCTTCAGGGACAAAATATAGGGAATTCCTTGATTTCACAGCTCCCAAGATTATGCAATGACCTAAGTCACTTGTCTACACCAAGCTTTAAGATGTAGATGGATTCAGATAAGCCAGAAAGTAAAGCTCCTGTTTGTGCTCAACTGCAATTCCATCCTCAACCAACAGTCTATTCCAAGTCAAAGAATCCTGAATTCAACTACCCATCATCCTTATTGTAGGTCTAGGCAAAGAAAATATGTTTACATACAAGGTCTCCTCAGTCTATCCCAATGAGGGAGTAAGGCAGTATTTTTTCAATAAGAATTGAACAGAGGGCCAAGCACAATAAAGACAATATGGCCATCAATGCAGCTAAGTAGATGTAGATGTATACATGTGTTTGCTCTCTGCCACACACTGTGCTAAGCACTTTATCTACTTCCTTTGATCCGAGTGCCTAGCATAGAGCCTGGCACATAGAAGGTGCTCAATAAATATTTGTTGAATGAATGAATGAATGAATGAAATAAAGCTCTGTGGGCATCATCATGATCATGTATAATGAGGCTGAGAAAGGGTAACAGAGGTCCCCTAGCTAGTAAGGAGTAAGGCCAGAATTCAAACCCAGGCATAGCTGTGCGTTTATATAAGTTTACCCATACAAGTTCATGTCCTTAACCATCTACTTGCCTTTTAAAAATATTACTTGAATGCCTGCTCTTTGTCAGACATTATGTCAGGGCCAAGAATAATGAACCCTCCCCTTCAGAAGTACACAATCTTGTATAGGAAACAGGGGCATTAACAAATGCATTAGCAAATAATAGATGCAATCATTACAGTAGACACATGGTATAGAAGACACCCCTCTGTCCGATGAGATGGGGTCAGGAGACACCCTAGAAGGGACTCATGGATTTGGGCCAGTGGAAGTCTGGGTATAGGGAAGTTCTGGAGGTCATTCAGCAAGGCAGGCTGAGCAAAGCCAGGCTGGAGGATGTCTTTCCTTACCATCTGATCACTTTTAGGTTCCACCACCAGTTTGGGGTGGTCCTGCCAGATATATCTCAGAAATATTTGATTGAAAAACAACCCTGATAGCATCAGAGCCTGATCTTTGGAGGCTGTGCATGCAGCAAGCATGCACTGAGGGCAGCTGGTCTCACTAAGCTCTGCTGCTGTGACCACCTTGGCTCAACCCAGCCTGGACTAGAAGTCCTCACCCAACCAAAGCCAGGTCGTACCGGGTAGATCAGACTTTGCTTAAGGACATTAACACAGAGTAACACGCACGGAGGCAAATCCAGACTGTGAGGCTCAGTGGTGTCTCATGCCTAAGATCTTTTCCCTATCTGCTTCCAGCCTGCCTCTGTAGCAGAAACCACATTCCCTATACCCACTCCAGAAGTGTCTTCAGCCATCTCTAGAACCCTCTTTGTCCAGATCCAAAGGGTTGAAGTCCAGGGACAGATGGGTGGGACTCCCCTCTCCAACCTACCAAGGCCTCCCTTCCAAGGCCCTCTTTCTTGTCTGAGGGCACCTATTTCCTGGACTTCAACTCTAGGAGTGTCACTCTGTACAGGGGAAACATTGTCTTTTATTCTCAAGGGTGTGGCCTTCCTTAGACTCACCACATCAGGATACAACATCTACAGAAAGGCCCCTCACACACAGCAGAGGCACAGGCTGTGGGTACTTGCTGACTGGTGCTCTCAACGGCAGCTGTCAGTCATGATTCATACACTCAAAAAACAACATGGAAAACTGTCTCTGGGCCATTAGCATGCAAAGCAAATAATATGTGATCTCAATTTTCTAGAGGAGCACTATCCAATAGAGCGTGAGTCATGTACGCAATGTTATATTTTCTACATTAGTAGCCACATTAATAAAAGTAAAAAAAATCAGGTGAAATTAATGTGAATAATATATTTTATTTAACCCAATATATCCACATATTTTCACTTCAATGTGTAAATGAAAATTTTACTCTTTTGTTTTGTACAAAGTCTTACATATCCCTGGTAGATTTTACACTTACAGCACATCACCACTGGTGGCTTCTGGCTACTGTATTGGACAGTACAGGTCTAGAGGCTTCCAGTTAGTGGAGCTCGAAGATGCTCCCATTATCTCTAATTACCTCTCCATGTAAAGTGATATTCAGACCCCTCCCTTACCCAGGGGATGATGGCCCAGGACTTTTCCAGGCAGATTTCCTTAGGCTACCCTTTAACACACACAGATAAACTGCTTTATGCCAAGCAATGGAACAGACTCAAGAGAGTGGAACATTCATGAGCTTTGCAAGGCATCGCCAGCATCTCAGACTACCCGACCCTGAACACATCCCCATCCTTGGATTCCTGCTATAGCTGCTTTGTTTTAAAGGGTAAAAAGGGTCTGTTGATGTTCCCACAGCTGAGCTACCCTACCCAAAGGCTTTCACAGTTGTTGTCTTTGGTTAAATTCTGTTCCATTACTGATGCCTGAGTGACTGATTTTAATGTATTAGACACTTTGATATTAGTAGTTATCAGTTAGGAACTCTTCAGTTGCAAGTGACAGAAAAACCAATTCAAATTCACTCAAACAATAGGCAGAGGGTGTGAGTGCTTTAGCAGTCCACATAACTAGAAGTCACCAACGATCTGATTTCATGCTCTTCCCACTCTGTGTTCCTCTGCATCAACACAATCTCTCAGCTTCACACAGTGCTCTCCTGCAGCTCCAGAAAATCACCTTGAGATCTCAGAGTGTCTTCAAACATGGCAGGTCTCACACCCAGCAGAGGAGAAAGTGCCCCTTCTGCTACCTCTCCACAAATCCTAGTATTCACTCTTTGCCATCGGCCAGAACTGAGTCACATGTCCACCTCCGAACCAATCAGTGCAAGTGGTTGCTGGCTTTCCTAACTGGTTAGACCAATTGAGGCCCACCCCAGGAGTTGAAGAGGGGTTAATCCCACCCAACTGTATGGCTGAAAATGGAGAGGGAAGAATTCCCAAAGAAAAAAACTCAAGGTCCCTTAGTGTGAGAAGCTAAGAGTAGATATTGAAGAAGCCCCAACAAATGTCCACCACAATCAACATAATATGTCCAAACTTGTTACTTTATCTTGCCTGATGTGTGGGTATTCAACGGGGGAATTGCTGAAATATCTAGTAACTTCAACTATGTCACATGGAATTAATTTCAATCCCTCCAGAGAACTGTCATAACTACTAGACTCCTTTGGCTAGAGAAAAATCTCCTTAGCACAACGCTTTTAAGAAAACAAACCTCCCAACTTGGGTGGGATATCCTCAGACTGCTCCATTGAAAGCCTGAATATAATCCAGGGATGTTAAGACACAGATACCTCTTAAGAGTTAAAAATTACAGAAAGATTTTTGGAACAAAGTACAAGTATTCTGTTAGTACCTTACAAAGCCATGTCAAATGTGAGGTTGGCAAATCTTCTAATAAGATCCAATAACATGATTTAAGGAAATTTGTGCTGTTAAATTTCTATGAAAGGGTTTTTAAATAAATTTTTTCTTAAGCTCTTTCTATGGACAAGACTGCACCATGTGTACCAGGGACTCCGAGGCTAAAAAAGCAAGGAATGCACTTTGAAAAAGAATCATTCTCAATACTACAGTATTCCCTGGTATCTTTCCGCTCCATAGGGCTTTAAAATACCACATTCATTTGAAAGATGGAATGTTCTTCCCAAGTTTATCATCTGTAGCAATTACTGTAATTAACAATCAGGACATCCATAAGGTCAGGGTCGGTTCTGCTCACCATTATGTACCCAAGTCCTAGAACACAGTAGGTGCTCTTTAAATATCTGATGCAATGAAAGGAAAATGAGATTGAATGCATTTTGTAGAAGCCTGCCTATTTCAACACAGCTCAGCCTGAAGACTCGTCCATGTGTTCCTCTATAAATCCCCTAGATGGTTGGGACTGAGGTGAGGGGTTGGTGGTGAGGGAGTGGTTGAGAATGAATGGGATGCTAAAAGATGGCCTAAAAGCAACAATGCCCAGTGCGGAGGATTCAGAGATGGAGAAAATACACGAGCTCACTGATGCTCTGGCCAAGAGAGACATCTAAGTAGCAAGAGCACACGTGACCACACATAGCGAAAGGAAGTGTGAAGTGCTGTGGCACAGAGAGGAAGGGGCAATTAATTTTCCCCAGGGGAATCAGGGAGAAATATAAGAAATTATATTATATTAGATTGCAAGTTGTTTTACCAGAAGCTTCCACCGAGACAATATTTAAGACCTCCAGAGACCTAGAGAAATAGTGAGTAGGAGGGCAGGAAGATCACAGGATTGTTAAGTCCCAATCCTCCGAGCCTTAAAGAGTGGCTGATCCGGGAGCGGTGGCGGGCTCCTGTAGTCCCAGCTACTTGAGAGGCTGAGGCAGGAGAATGGCGTGAACCCAGGAGGCGGAGCTTGCAGTGAGCCGAGATCGCGCCACTGCACTCCAGCCTGGGCGACAGAGCCAGACGCTGTCTCAAAAAAAAAAAAAAAAAAAAAAAAAAAAAAAAAGAGTGACTGATCTGTGTTCATGGATGGATGAGTCTTCCCTTCGCTGCCCCGAGGACCTTTGAGTATGTCCCCTCACAGGCCCACGGGTTCCTGTTCTGCTCGATCAAAGCCCAGCCAGACAACACTGTGTCCCAGGAAACAAGAAGTTTAGCAGAGAGGGACTGAAAGTTCTTGTTTTGAAAGGATGCAGTGGGTTATTTCCTGCCACGCTATTTTGTTTCTAGCAAAAATTTTAATAAACAGGCTTTCAGAAGAAGGGACTACATCCTCTCTGCTAGATAGATTTGTTTTTGCCACATGGGTTTCAGTGTTCCTAATGAACTGTTAACAAGCTGTCAATTACACGCACAAATTAGGAGAGATGACATGGAGAGGTTTCTATCACAGAGTGTACTCCTAGGCTGCAAACTACAGACCCTTAGGGCCGAGGGCCTTGCCTTTGGACTTTCCAATGATCCCTTTGACCCATATGGGAAAATCATTGCAATTAGGTCCTGGTTTTGGAGGGGAGGGAGGTTTGAAGACCTAAGTTAAAAGTAAATTTTTTTTTTTTCTCACTCCAAGTGCTGAAAATTCTCTTGGTTTCTAGCAAATCAAACAGTTAATTCTCTGCTGCAACATGTAAACCTGTTTAACTTAAATGGGTGCTGACAGAAGACTTCATTCTGTGCGACTTTTATTGTCATTTCTTTTCCAGCCAATTGGCTCTGTAGCCTTTCTGCTGTTTATCAAGCCCCTCTTTGGGCTTCCGGGAATAAACTCCACACAAAGGAAGAAAACTGTGCAAGCAAATAACAAACTTTCAGTGTAATTATTCCTGCTCTCTGCCTGTCACTCCTTCCCAAGAGAATCTCCAGAAAGTCCCACTTATTCGAGGAGCTCTCAATCTCCCTGGCCTGTTTGAAGTCAGGAATGTGATGCTAGGGGAATGGTTTAGAGCGCCGTCGGCAGTGCTGAGGAAAGCCAAGTAGGCTGGCACATTCTGGGTGGCGGCGTGCCGTTCTCTAGGACACAAAGGGACATGAAAGGTTTTCCGCAGACCCGAAAGAGAAAGGAAACAAAAATCAGAAGTGCTCCCTTGGTGAGAATTGTTGGCAGGGCTCCTCTCACAGAAATCGGATAACAAAAAGACCAGTTACTGGTTAACTTTAAGAAAGAGCCAGCCACGCCAGGGGAAGGGCGCACATTAATAGTGAATGAAATGACCGTGTGCACGGCTTTGTGGTCAAAGGATCCGTGGGAGATTCTGGAAAGGAGGCTGCCCAGAGGGGCTGTCCCTAAACACACGGGGCTGATGGGCCACAGTTGTTCCCATTTCACTCCCATAACGTCAATCGTTTCCCCAGAAAGCCATGGGAGACTCTGTGGGCTGGGCCCTCAGATTTGCAGGGCTGATTCCTGGCCAGCTTAGGTACCCTGTGACTCAGTTTCCTACCTGCTGAAGAACTGGAATGAGGCTGACAATCCCAAAATGAAAGGAGATGCCCAGTGGCAGGATCCCTGGTCCCAGATGCAGAGGCTAGGACTGGCTGGGAGGGCTGTGGCCGGCAATCAGGACGCTGGAGGCTCCGATGGTTTCTTCCCTTTCTGGGGCACTGCTGCCTCCTGCTGTCCTGCCTATTAAATCTCAGGTTTCTCCCTCCACCCGGCTAATCAATCACCACCACCCTCTCCCTGGAGACTTTTCCTTGTGTCACCCAGGGTGCCATCACACATCAGGTCCCTCTTCAAGTCTGATCTTAGGTTCTCACTCTACTCTATCCTGCTGTAAGGGAGGAGTCCTGAATTTGGATTCTGAAGGCTCAGGCTCAAGTCCAAGCTCTGCCACTCACTGTGTAACAAGGAATATATTTCTTCATCTTGATGAACTTTGCTTCCTCTTCTGAAAACAGAGATTGGGGAGGATGAAGTCTCTGTGAGGTCCAAGTGAGATCATGGGAAAACTCTGTAAACCAGAAGGCAGTCAACCAGAGGTTTAATTTTATTATTTACTTATTATTTATTGAAACAGGGTCTTACTCTATTGCCCAGGCTGGGTGCAGTGGTGTGATCACAGCTCCCTGCAGCCTCAACCTCCAGGGCTCAAGCAATCATCCCACCTCAGCCTCCTGAGTAGCTGGGACTACAAGAGATTGCCACCACACCCAGCTAATTTTTATTTATTTATTTATTTATTTATTTATTTATTTAGTAGACACAGGATCTCCCTATGTTGCCCAGGCTGGTCTTGAACTCCTGGGCTTGAGAGATGTTCCTGCTTCAATTTCCCAAAGTGTTGAGATTACAGGCATAAGCCAGCAAGGCCAGCCTTAAACCAGAGGTTTTAAATTTGCCTCTATCTCTCTCTTTTACTCTTTTAGCAGTGGAACCCTCTTTTCCAAATTAGATCTTAAGTGGAGCCCCAAAAAGGCAGAGCGTTCTGGTAGAAGCAGGGGCAGAGCCCCCAGCCCCTTGGCCACACCCTCCAGGTTCTGGTCCCTACCCCATTGCTGGAAAACCACTGCCCTTGAGGAATATTCACTATTAACTATTAGCAATCGAAAGTATTTTGAAAATAAAGCCCCATGCTATTACTGAAAACATGAATAAGAAGATTAGAAGACAGCCAAACAATGCCCTTCAAAATGTCTGTCCACCTCCTTTTCTTTTTTCTTTCCTTTTTTTTTTTTTTGTTTGAGACGGACTCTCTATCTGTCGCCCAGGCTGGAGTGCAGTGGTACGATCTCGGCTCACTACAACCTCCGCCTTCCGGGTTCACACCATTCTCCTGCCTCAGCCTCCCAAGTAACTGGGACTACAGGCGCCCGCCACCACGCCCAGCTAATTTTTTGTATTTTTAGTAGAGACGGGGTTTCACCATGTTAGCCAGGATGGTCTCTATCTCCTGACCTCGTGATCTGCCTGCCTCGGCCTCCCAAAGTGCTGGGATTACAGGCGTGAGTCACCGCGCCCAGCCCTTTTTCTTTTTTCTTTTCTTTTCTTTTTTTTTTTTTTTTTTTTGAGACAGGGTCTCATTCTGTCACCCAGGCTGGAGTGCAGAGGTACAATGGTGGTTCACAGCAGCCTGACTGCCTCAGCTCAGGTGATTCTCCTACCTCAGTCTCCCAGGGTAGCTGGGACTACAGGTATGTACCACTATGCCCGGCTAATTTTTTGTATTTTCTATAGAAACAGGGTTTCACCATGTTGCCCAGGCTGAACTCGAACTCCTGGGCTCAAGCAGTCTGCCCACCTTGGCATCCCAAAGTGCTAGGATTACGGACATGAGCCACCATGCCTGGCCTGACTCCCACCTCTTTAAACACAATTTTTTTTGCAACCTGGTATTCTTTAAGTTTTCCTTGCAATGACTCCTATTTCATTTGTCATATCACCCATTTTCTCCTTGTCTGATACTCATGGCTACTTATCTTTAAAAGTGGTATCTTATGTCCATTTCGTGACTCACCCCTACACACACTAACATGCATGCACACATACACACAATTAAGAGCTACCTAAAAGTATAAATTTCTTAAAACCATTCTACAAAAATGAAAAATGAGCTATAGATCCACTGGTAAGAATCCTTTTGAATCTCCCAACAATCTCTACCACCAGTCACATTGCCAAAAATGACCACAGACAATTGTCCCCATCTGACTAATGTCCTCATCGTCAAGAATGGGATTTGCTGGCAGGTTTGGATCTGACATGAGTTGCAACACCCTGATCAGCTCGTGGGGCCTAGGCCCTGTTTTAATTCAGAGCTGGTATTCCTGCAGGATTCCCCACTACCTTCCCCTTCACTCTGCCGGTTTCATTAGGCAATTCTTCCCGATCTAAACACTCACTGTATGGTAGGTTGCAAAGCCACAGTCCCTACCCCCAGCCCCAGAGAGGCCCAGAGGGAAAGTCAGCAGGTACAATTATAGCTTTCACATGTCCTTCTGGAAAGAGGAGTTAAGTGTTATTTTATATATTTTTCTCAGCACCGTGTCAGTGATTTTCTCGGGAAGCACAAGGCTCCTGCTCCCCCCGCCCACATACAATGAAAATTTTATGGAAAAGTTATCCAGAGGAAGGATGGCAACGTTTTGTTTTGTTTTTTCCTGAAAGCCATGTGGGCTATTTTCTACTGCATACTACTGTCAAGAGCGGAATCACAAATAAATCTAAGAAGCAAGGAGAGGGGTATAAAATATAAACAAGGAAGGAAAGAAAGAAGGGAGTTAGCGAAATAAAGAGAGCTCCACATTTATTAAGAAAAAAAAGAATAAATTGGTTTTTTTTTACAAGCGACAGAAATTGGCCTACAAAGGGCCTTTCCTACTTGCATCCCCAAAACCAACCCGCCAAGCTATGGGCATTCATGGCTCTCTTGTGCCCTCTAGTGGGCAAAGGTGGTCCATGTTTTTTCCTTGAGTGACAGCCAGAGTCTCTCATGCACTTGTCGGCCTTCTTATTACATCATGAATTTTGATAAGCCCATTAGCCAGCCAGGCAGCCAGGAGGAGGATGTCTTTCTCACTTGATGACTACACAATGAGGAGTAATATATTTTAATTTAAACACCATAAACCTATTGAGTGCTTAATTAACTTTAACCGTCTTTAGGGGAATGAAGCCAATTTGAGGGGGTCAAAAGGAGTTGTTTCAATATCAAACAGTTTTACATAGTCAATCCATTCATTCGGCCTACAGCTACTGATTAACACACAAAATTAACATGTTAGTAAAAATTCATATTCAGGCCTCTGGGGAAATTAAGATGCGCATGCACAGGGCATGATTAGCACAGCTATTGTTTTCTCCCAACAATATAATTTAATGGGTTTTTAGAATTACAGAAAGAGAGACTCGGTGCTGGTTTGAATTGATTATTTACCACAAAGCTTTGAAATATAGAAAAGATAGAAAACATCTCAAGCCAAAAAGGCCAGCGAACAGAGGCGGATGGGCTCAGAGCGAGTGTATCTCACTAAGGAGGTTGGCGGGATGAACTGATGGAGAGGCAGGCTGGGCATCCCAACTCGACATGAGCCAGGGCCAACGGGACCAAAGAGAGGATTTCTGGCTGCCTGGAAAAGCACAGTAAGGGCTGCCTGCCCAGGGAGGAGGAAATTATTTCATTTAATATGTAATCATATTATACATACAGTCTATTTCCCAGAAGTATCTAAGGCAGATTATGTTATTTAAACATACTAAAAATAATAAATTTTTAAAAGAATTTTTTTTAAAAAAAAAAAGATAGGGAGTCAATGAGAAAGAACAAAGAGCAACTGAGTAAGGCAGTTACCACATTCGCAAAGCAAATTTAGTTCTGAGCTTCCTGGCAGCCAAGGAAAAAGTGCCAAGTACACTAGGATATATGGTTCTCATTACCTGTTGCCTTCAAAGGGATGTATAAGTTTGACTGAATAGATGTGTTTCCTTCCTCATGCTAAATTTGAGAGCAACTGATTGTGTAGTTACTTACAGAAAGGTCACTGAGTAAAAGGACTGTCAATGTGTTTGTCTGTTTATTTATTTATTTATTTATTCTAAGACAGGGTCTTGCTCTGTCACCCAGGCTGGAGTGCAGTGGCATGATCTCAGCTCACTGCAGCCTCCGCCTCTTGGATTCAAGCAATTCTCATGCCTCAGCTTTCCGGGTAGCTGGGACTACAGGTGCCTGCCACCATGCCCAGCTAATTTTTGTATTTTTAGTAGAGATTGGGTTTCGTTATGTTGGACAGGCTGGTCTTGAACTCCTGGCTTCGAGTGACCCACCCTTCTTGGCCTCCCAAAGTGCTGGGATTACAGGCGTGAGCCAACACACCCACCCCTGTCAATGTGTTTAATGACAGCTTAGCAAAATATACAGAAATGTTCTTTAGAGCTTCTTTTGTCAGCACTCCATAACAGGCAAGCACAGAGGTTCAAGTTGAAACTCAAGAAAGCCATTTCTGTAGGGAGGTAAAATAATACTGTCTAGATATATATTTTTTGATAATCCTTCTTCAATCCCTATGGTAATGGTAATTTTAGGACCCAGACAATCAGGAAGCAAAGAGGACTTGGTCTCAAGATGGAATTCACAGGACTTGTACAAGAACCTCATAACTGGCCTGGTTGCCTTCAGTCTCTCCCTCTGTCCAAACCATCTATACATGGCCAAGAAGTGAATCCTCCTGTAACATTTACTTTAATTTCCCTGTATCTGCTCAAAGATCCTCCAATGCCTCCTCTCTCCCCACATGATCTATTTTCAGCCTCATCTCCCAACACCCCTGACACACCCTGCAGCCAACCATGAAGGTCTTTCCTCATGCCCTCCACATGCCTTGTTTAATCCCACCTCTGTTGCTCATGCCACCCCCCCATCCCACTCTGACCTACTTTTCCTCTGCTTTTCCACTTCTTCGAATCCTCCTTCCTCCTCCAAAATTTTCCCCTTCTTCTCAAAGACTAATTTTTCTATCTCAGCTACCTTTTTGTTGCTCCTGAGAAATAGCTTTTAAATTGCCTACAAGGTCATGTTCCTCCTCCTTAACATAGTAACCCAGACCCTCCAGGCTGTGGAACTCCCCCTTTTCCCCAGATTCTCCACCGATGTTCAGCCCTCCATGCTCTGTCCTTTGCCCACCCGTCCGCCTTGCTGTCTAGCCTCTGCTTTCGACCTGGCAAACTCCTTCCCAAGACTCAGTGCGCCTTAGACTTCTGGGAAGCTGTGTGCTGCCAGAGTGAGGCTCCTTCTGCCCTCTGCTCCCAAAGGCCCCTGCACACACCTCTTCCCTAAGCAGCCACAGTTTCCTGTGAATGTTGAGGTCAGCTTCTCCTCTGCCAGCTCCTTGGTAACAGGTGGGATGTTTTAGTGGCTTTTTCTTTTCTTAAATCTCCTGCGGCTGCTGGTGCGTGGCACTTAATAGGACTCGGCAGATGCCACAGAACTACTTCATCGGCTGATCCTCCACCAGCAGCACACCCACCAGGCTCACAGCGCCTGCGTGCCAGGGTGCCTGGGCTCCACTTCTCTGCATGCCTTCATGTGCCTCCTCAGCTGCCTACTGTTGTAGGAAGAACCTTCACTTCTCTGTGTCTGTCCACCTGGCTACCCACTCTCCAATCCCTTATCTCTTCTCTTGATGGCTTTTATTCGCCAAAAAAGCCTGGCAAAGAGGTACAGGGAAACCAGGTCCATGGGACTAGATACAGAAAAAGAGACTGATGGAGAGGACCCAGAGAACATAAGTGACATGGTCTCTTCCCTCAGAGATGCTTTGACTCTAACAGCCTCCAGTTACTTGGAGCCAGAGAAGGCCCAAGGTCAAAAGGTGCTAAAGCCTGGTCCTTTAGCCAAACAAGCAAACCAGGTGACTCAGGTGACTCTACCAGGCTCATGTCAAAGTGATGGAGACAGGGATCCAGTTGGCTCCAGCCCAGGAAATAGGGTTGGGACTCCCAAACAGAAGCGCCGAGGGTCTGGGAACTGAGGCCATGTCAGGATCACTTTTGGGGCAGACTAGCAAGGCACAGGACATTTCACGGTGGCCTCACAGGCTGGGACCAGGCTGGACTATGTCATCAGCAAGTTGTTGCCCCCACAACTCTGGCCTGCCTCTCCTCCTCCTGACTCTTGTTCTCCATTAACCATTTGGTGTCCACTTTTTTGTTTTTGAGACGGAGTCTCGCTCTGTCACCCAGGCTGGAGTGCAATGGCGCGATCTTGGCTCACTGCAACCTCTGCCTCCCGGGTTCAAGTGATTCTCCTGTCTCAGCCTCTTGAGTAGCTGGGACTACAGGCATGTGCCACCACACCCAGCTAATTTTTGTGTCTTTAGTAGAGACAGGGTTTCACTATGTCACTATGTTGGCCAGACTGGTCTCAAACTCCTGACCTCAGGTGATCCACCTGCCTGGGCCTCCAAAAGTGCTGGGATTACAAGCTTGAGCCACTGCACCCGGCCTGGTGTCCACTCTTTTTCCACAGGATTCAGTAGATGCAAACACTTCAAGCCAAATATGTTCATAAGAAAGTCTCTCTGCTACTGGCTGAGGGGAATGTGAGCAAAAGCTTCTCATAAGCACACACTGAATTCTGTCTTCGATCTGTCTGCTGGGTTCATTTTATTGAGAACATGACTTCCCCAAACAATCTGACAGACGTGGCCAATCCTATCCTGTCATGCCTTGGGGGTTTGTACTCTGATCCCTCCCTCCTCCTCTTTACTGCACTCCTTCATTACAGAATAAGTACGTGTACACTGTACTGCCTTTGGGTGGAACGTGTGGTTTGGGGCTGGAGCAGTTACAAAGCTACCAAAGATATCAGCTCTTCATCCTGGGTAGATGAACCCTCCACCCAAAGGGCAGTCCTCGACAGTGCTGGGGAGAAACTGTCTGGGGGAAATTTGGCATATTAGCCAAAAGTCTTTAAAAATGTATGCATTCTTAGGACTCTCAATTTAGGAATTTATGCCAAATAAATAAGCGTGGATAGGTTCAGAGATTCAGCTGTATAGATAATCTTCCAAGGATTGTTTAGTGAAAAGCTGGAAACATGCTTAACCATAGATTGATTCCTTAATGAAATTATGGTACCTATTCAATGGAACACCAGCAGTCTAAAGTAGATTAATGTTTTGGACAGAGAGAAAAAGTGTTCATTCCACATTATTAAATCAAAGCAGCATAGAATAAAATAGTAACTACAGTGTAATCCCATTTTATTTAAAAATAAATTTATGCATGAAAAATGACATTTCACTCAGTGACAGACTGCATGTATGATAGTTATTCCATAGGATTATAATACTATATTTTTATGGTACCTCTTCTATGTTTAGATACACAAATGCTTACCATTGTGTTGCAATTGCCTACATTCAGCACAGTAAGATGCTGTACAGGTTTGTAGCCTAGGAGCCATAGGCTATACCATGTTTCTTAGGTGTGTAGTAGCCTATTCCATCTAGATTTGAGTAAGTCCACTCTATGGTGTTTGCACAATGATAAAATAACCCATCAACACATTTCTCAGAAGGTATCCCCATCCTCAAGCAATGCATGACTGTATATATATGTATGTGAATGTACAGAGAAAGGTCTGGAAGGATAGCTACCATGATCTTCATAGCAGTTACTGTTATATAATGGAATCACGGTGCTTTTCAATTGCGATGTTTCTGCTAATCTGCAATTCTAAAATTTCTAATAATAAGAGTTG